>NC_000005.10:155761324-156064354 GCF_000001405.40 Homo sapiens | reverse complement strand
ATCCTCAATAAAATACTGGCAAACCGAATCCAGCAGCACATCAAAAAGCTTATCCACCATGATCAAGTGGGCTTCATCCCTGGGATGCAAGGCTGGTTCAATATACGCAAATCAATAAATGTAATCCAGCATATAAACAGAGCCAAAGACAAAAACCACATGATTATCTCAATAGATGCAGAAAAAGCCTTTGACAAAATTCAACAACCCTTCATGCTAAAAACTCTCAATAAATTAGGTATTGATGGGACGTATTTCAAAATAATAAGAGCTATCTATGACAAACCCACAGCCAATATCATACTGAATGGGCAAAAACTGGAAGCATTCCCTTTGAAAACCGGCGCAAGACAGGGATGCCCTCTCTCACCGCTCCTATTCAACATAGTGTTGGAAGTTCTGGCCAGGGCAATCAGGCAGGAGAAGGAAATAAAGGGTATTCAATTAGGAAAAGAGGAAGTCAAATTGTCCCTGTTTGCAGACGACATGATTGTATATCTAGAAAACCCCATCGTCTCAGCCCAAAATCTCCTTAAGCTGATAAGCAACTTCAGCAAAGTCTCAGGATACAAAATCAATGTACAAAAATCACAAGCATTCTTATACACCAACAACAGACAAACAGAGAGCCAAATCATGGGTGAACTCCCATTCACAATTGCTTCAAAGAGAATAAAATACCTAGGAATCCAACTTACAAGGGATGTGAAGGACCTCTTCAAGGAGAACTACAAACCACTGCTCAAGGAAATAAAAGAGGAGACAAACAAATGGAAGAACATTCCATGCTCATGGGTAGGAAGAATCAATATCGTGAAAATGGCCATACTGCCCAAGGTAATTTACAGATTCAACGCCATCCCCATAAAGCTACCAATGACTTTCTTCACAGAATTGGAAAAAACTACTTTAAAGTTCATATGGAACCAAAAAAGAGCCCGCATTGCCAAGTCAATCCTAAGCCAAAAGAACAAAGCTGGAGGCATCACACTACCTGACTTCAAACTATACTACAAGGCTACAGTAACCAAAACAGCATGGTACTGGTACCAAAACAGAGATATAGATCAATGGAACAGAACAGAGCCCTCAGAAATAATGCCACATATCTACAACTATCTGATCTTTGACAAACCTGAGAAAAACAAGCAATGGGGAAAGGATTCCCTATTTAATAAATGGTGCTGGGAAAACTGGCTAGCCATATGTAGAAAGCTGAAACTGGATCCCTTCCTTACACCTTATACAAAAATCAATTCAAGATGGATTAAAGATTTAAACGTTAAACCTAAAACCATAAAAACCCTAGAAGAAAACCTAGGCATTACCATTCAGGACATAGGCGTGGGCAAGGACTTCATGTCCAAAACACCAAAAGCAATGGCAACAAAAGACAAAATTGACAAATGGGATCTAATTAAACTAAAGAGCTTCTGCACAGCAAAAGAAACTACCATCAGAGTGAACAGGCAACCTACAACATGGGAGAAAATTTTCGCAACCTACTCATCTGACAAAGGGCTAATATCCAGAATCTACAATGAACTCAAACAAATTTACAAGAAAAAAACAAACAACCCCATCAAAAAGTGGGCGAAGGACATGAACAGACACTTCTCAAAAGAAGACATTTATGCAGCCAAAAAACACATGAAGAAATGCTCATCATCACTGGCCATCAGAGAAATGCAAATCAAAACCACTATGAGATATCATCTCACACCAGTTAGAATGGCAATCATTAAAAAGTCAGGAAACAACAGGTGCTGGAGAGGATGCGGAGAAATAGGAACACTTTTACACTGTTGGTGGGACTGTAAACTAGTTCAACCATTGTGGAAGTCAGTGTGGCAATTCCTGAGGGATCTAGAACTAGAAATACCATTTGACCCAGCCATCCCATTACTGGGTATATACCCAAAGGACTATAAATCATGCTGCTATAAAGACACATGCACACGTATGTTTATTGCGGCACTATTCACAATAGCAAAGACTTGGAACCAACCCAAATGTCCAACAATGATAGACTGGATTAAGAAAATGTGGCACATATACACCATGGAATACTATGCAGCCATAAAAAATGATGAGTTCATATCCTTTGTAGGGACATGGATGAAATTGGAAACCATCATTCTCAGTAAACTATCGCAAGAACAAAAAACCAAACACCGCATATTCTCACTCATAGGTGGGAACTGAACAATGAGATCACATGCACACAGGAAGGGGAACATCACACTCTGGGGACTGTGGTGGGGTCGGGGGAGGGGGGAGGGATAGCATTGGGAGATATACCTAATGCTAGATGACACATTAGTGGGTGCAGCGCACCAGCATGGCACATGTATACATATGTAACTAACCTGCACAATGTGCACATGTACCCTAAAACTTAGAGTATAATAAAAAAAAAAAAAAAAAAAAAAAAAGTGAAAACTCCTGGAATTATCACCAAATATCTTTTACCTGCCAATCTCAATGACTGAATTATTCAAAGACATATATTAATGTAACTTGGAGGAACACTCCAACACATGTCCCCAAACTGTCAGTTCATCTATGAAACTGTCCAGACAACCCATTAGATATTTGTTGCCTTTGGGTCTTACTTTTTCTTTACATTGAGAATAAATTTCTCCTGTTCCTAGTTTTCTATTTCTTCCTAATTAACAACAATTGTGCATTGTCCTTCCACTAACACCTGGCATAGATCAAATTTCTACTGTGATTCCTACATTTAACACTTCCCCTGAAAAGAGCTTTATTTCCATTGAGGGGTCCAATTCATTAACATTCATGCAGTGGGTTTGTTTTTAAATATTTTCCTCCCATCCTTTAAGGAAGAAACCCAAGCTAAGTCGAATCCTGGTTTTCAGGATACCAGTTATAGTGTATGAATTTAAAAACATCCATTAGCCTGTCACATTTGGTTTCTATGGTAAGAAACCATGAAGGGAGCCTATAGGAATTAGACATGAGACCTAACAGAAATTTAATTAACTCCCTGTCTCTGTTTCTTTTGTCTAGCTCTGTTTTGTTTTGATCCTTGAAGGATCTTCAGCTAAAGACCAACGCTTATATTCTCTTAGCCTTGAAGAATAGTAGAGATTGGACATACTATGTATGGTTTGGATAACACTGGGAACTACTGAAAAATTTTAGCAAAAAAAAAAAATAGTTGCAATTTTTACAGGGGTTAAAATCTTATAGACTCATTAATAACGTCTCTGTGAGACTAGTGCTTTGACTCAGGTAAGGATAAAGTCTTGAATAGATTTTTATTTTTTTTAACAATAGCTGCCATTTTCAGGAATGAATAGATTTTTAAATCAATTTTTGTGAGAGTCCAGACACAGAGAAAAGACAGAGGGATTCCGCTGACCACGGTGATAGGAACTGGGGATGTTAAAATGAGGTGGCATATGGGAAAAACACACATCTGGGTGGCCCTTTCTTATGGCTATATTTCTAGGAAAATATAGTGATATAAATTTTCTAGCACTTCAATTAAATGCATTTAATAAGTAAAATTATTTAATGTCAATCTTTTAGTTTTTAATATTAAAAAGTATATTATTTCCCACTCTGTATGCTTACAACATCCAAATTGTACCTATTAAGATTCAAACAGCCATATTTAGGCTAAACTTGAATCCACCCAAATTCTTCATAGGGCCTCCCACCTCCAAACATCTTTACACCCTATTTCTATGCAACAAAACAACATATATTCCAGCATTGATGAAGGTACATAAATTTCTTTGGAAGTACCCCATTCCCATTATAACCAGTCTCAATTGGTTAGTTCCCAAAATGCCCCTTGTAAAAAACTTCATTAAGAAATGAACTGAATATTTGAAGGAACTTAGGTGCCATCCAATTAATCCTGTCTTTTACTATCTTGTTTTGGGCTAGAAGATAGAAAGACTTTTTAGCTGTTCTAAACCTTCTCTATAACCTGATCATCCAGAAAACCAATTCCAGGGAAATCTTGTAGTGTTCAACTCTCATCAGGTAATATTATTGATCAAAATTTTGACAGGTGCTTCACTGTCTGATAATTCAAAGCCACACTTCTTAGCGTGGCATTCAAGGCTCTCTCAGTTTGGTCTCCACATTTCTCCTCTACACTTACTGATCATTGCATCTACTCCTGCACACCTTATAGGACAGGATGTTAATGAAGTAGGCAATTGGACGATTGGGGTTCTAAAACTCCTTTGAAATAGTCTGAACAAAAAATGCAGGTTAATATTTTAGATTAATTGTTCTGTATGAAGAGTTCATAATTTATACAGGATTTTTTCCACTGACTTATGAGCATCTTGGGAGAATATTTGACCTGAACAGTTTTGTGACAACCATATAGATATAAAGACAACTGATGGACTGAGAACACCTCAGCACTTTTGTGAGAACAGTCAAATCTGAGGTCCATTAGCAGCTAAAAAGAAAAGAGGAAGAGAAATAAAAACATAAAAAGTCAGCAAACTGGGAAATAGTTCACAGATTGGTTTAAATGGCAAATCTGGATATTCTATTTCTTACCAGCAATAGCCACGAAACGACTTGTATTTATTGCATGTGCACTGTTTCCAGGTACTATACTACCAAACCTGTGAAGTGCCATTATTGTTTCTCTGTTTTACAAATGGGGAAATTCAGACTTAGAGAAGGCAAATTACTTTGGCAAAGCCAGGTAGCAGCTAAGTCACAGAGCAGGACTGCCACCTAAACTGTGTTACCTTCAAAGCCAGCGGGCCTTAAAAACACCACACTATCTTACCTTGCACTGGTCATAGGGTCCCCTGCCAATGCACACTAGGAAGACAGATAAATCCAGCTGCCACTCCAACCTCACAGAGTCTTATATGTGTTGCAATCTTGGATTTCTAATGCACCTTTTCTGATAAAAGTTTAAAAGAGCTTCACTCAGATTCCCCAAATCTTTCTCCTCCAACCCTCAAGTTCTTAGTTCTTGGAGGCTGAGACAACAATGCCTTCTCTCACAATACAAGTTTCCTTAGCAGAGGAAGAAGCTAAATAAACCCGCCTTCCCTTTCCTGGTTACTGTCTCTCTCTCAGCTGGGAAACTACGTTAATTTAATTAACTTGCTTTCCTCTAGACAGGGCTTGGGTTTTGCTTGTTAAGCCTAGTCATTCACGAGGTGGGACAATTTAATCAACAGAACTGCCCTCAAAAACTCCCAGAAATCAAAAACCAAAACTTTTTTTTTTTTATTTAAAAAATGATATACCCACTTGTAGAAATTTGAAAATTATGAGGAAGCACAAAAAAGAAAATAAAAATCTATAACTGCTGTTACAATTTGCAGTGCATAATTCTCTTTTTTCTAGGCATAAGCAATATATATTTTTAAATAACTTTTATCATGGAAAAATTCAAACATACACAAAAATAGATAGACCAGTACAGAAAGATCCAATACACCCATCATTCAGTATAACTAATAACTCACGGCCAATCTTGTTTCATCTATATTCCTACACAGTTTCCCCTTTCTCCAGGTTACTTTGAGGCCAACCCAGACATCATCTCATTTCAACTGTAAATATTCCATTATATATCTTTATAAAACAAATATACTTTTCATTAATCATAATGTAATACCATTATTTCATCTACAAACTTAATGATGGTTTGCTAATATTATTAAATATCCATATTTAACATTCATATTTCCAACTGTCTCCTAAGTATTTTTTTAGGTTACTTGTTTGAATCAGGATAAAATTTAGGCCCACGCATTGCTATTGATCAGTATGTCTCCTAAATCTTAGTTACTCAAAGTGTAGCTGATGGGCCAGCAGCATTCCTGGAAGCCCGTTAGAAATGCTGAGTCTCAGCCTCCCCCATCCCCAGACCCACTAAAGCAGAATCTGCATTTCCACAAGATCCCAGATGATTCACATGCACATTAAATAAAGTTTAAGGATCATTGGTTTAGTTTGAAATCTCTTTTAATGTGAGGTATCCCACTCCCTCTCACTTCAGCTTTATTCTTTGTAAGATATTTTTAGAAGAATCTAGGTTGTCTCCTGAAGTTTCCCACAGTGTGAATGTTACTAATTTAATCCCTCATAATATTACTTAACATGTTCCTCTGTCTCCTGCTTTTAATATAAATTGGTAATTATATCTAAAGGCTTGCTCAGAATCAGTTTTGATTTTTTGGGTAGGAATAAACATAAGTTTTGGTGTGGTCTTTGCACCAGAAGCCCATATAATTTGGTTCACCCATTTTATAATGTTAGCAACATTAATGGTCATTCTGTAGATTATTTCATTATGTATTGTAAATGGCTTGATGCTTTCCTCATTTACTGCCTGAAGATGTCTAAAAAGTGCATCTTTTCCATATGAGTAACTTGATTCCTTTGAGTTATACCCTGTATATGTAAGACAAGATGAATGCTTAATTCTTTCCTTTATTACTTTCCAAGATAATTTGTTCCCAATCATACTAAAAGTGACCAGTGATTGATTTTTTTTTAGCATTCTTAGGTACTCATGGTTTTAAACATATCTGATGTTTTCCAATCATTATGGCCATTATATTTGTTAGTGCCCAAATCCTTCCATCATTGGCCAGCAGGAGACAGTTTCACTTGGATCCTCACTCTTTGACATATTCTCAATAGCCTTTGTAATTTGTTCTGTTTTCTGACATGGCAAGATGATGGTCCCTTTCAGTTCATGCATTTTCTACCTCAGACCTGGGTCAGAAATTCCTCCAAGAAGTGTGACTTACTAAATGATGATCATTTTCTCTGGCCTTTTTCAGAGGACAGATTTACTAAAGATGTTTTGTTTTGTTCCCAAATAAAGTCATCCTCATTCAAACTGATATTTACAAATCAAATTCAGGTCATGATTTTATTTAAACTCATCTATCACAGCTGTTTTTTATTTCTCACACACAAAATACTCTGCATCTCAATGACTAACATAATTCCTCATTTGACCCTGATGATAGACTTTTAGGTTGTTGCCAGTCTTTTGCTATTATAAATACTGCTGAATGAATGGCCATTTGCCTGTATCCTTTTATAGTGTTGCAAGTTTATCTTTGGGGTGGGTTTGAAGAAGTGTCCCTGTATGAAATGATAGGCAATGCATATATTAATGGGATAATACTATAATGCAAGATATATTTCTACATAATTTTACATAGTGAATATTTTCCTATGTCATTAACTACTCTTCTACAGTTTCATTTTTGACAGCTAAGAGATAGTCTATTTATTCTTTATTACTGAACATCCAAGCTGTTTTCTATGGATCACAATTTTAAATGCATTAATGACTATCTGTATAGATAAACCACTTGCATGGAGTATTTCAAACGTACTTAGGGATGCGCTAGTTTCCACCCTGTCTTGATAAAACTGCTTTGAACAACCTATTACACTAAGTAGGTATCAGTCATCGCTTGCCACAGATAAGGCAACAAGAGGATTCATAAAGTACTTTCAAAAAATGCCCAGTGGTTATAGTTGTGTAACCACCCGACAGATTCTCCTTGCCTACTGCCCAGATAGCACTGATTTATCAAGACAGGAGAATTGCAATAGAGAAAACGTTTAATTCACGCTCAGCTGGCTAAATGGGAAACTGGAGTTTTATTACTTAAATCAGCCTCTCTGAAAATTTGGAGACTGTTTTTTTTTTTTTTTTTTTTAAGGATAATTTGGCAGGTAGGGGACCAGAGAATGAGAAGAGTTGATTGGTTGGGGTAGGAGATGAAATCATAGATCAAAGTGTGTTCTTCTTGCTGTCTTCTGTTCCTGGGTGAGATGGCAGAACTAGCTGAGCCAGATTACTGGTCTGGGGTAGCATCAGCTGGTGCATCAGAATTCGGGGTCTGAAAAATATCTTGAGCACTGATATTAGGTCCTACAATATTGATGTTATTCATAGGAACAACTGGAGAAGTTTGGAATCTTGTGGCCCCTGGCTGCATGACTCCTAAACCATAATTTGTTAGTCCTACAAAGGCAGTCTGGTCCCCAGGCAAGAAAGGGATTTGTTTCAGTAAAGGGCTGTTATCATCTTTGTTTCAGAGTTAAACTATAAACTAAGTTCCTCCCAAAGTTAGTTCAGCCTACACTCAGGAATAAATAAGGGTAGCTTGGAGGTTAGAAGTAAGATGGAGTCAGTTAGGTCAGATCTCTGTCATTGTTATAATTTTCTTACTGTCACAATTTTTGCAAGAGTGACATCAGTTGGAATGAATACTGGACTAAGAGCAGCATCTGACTTCAACTTTGTCACTATTTCTGACTGATAAGTCTAGTCCACACTGGTTAGACTAGGTGACTTTTTAAAATTTTCCTTTAGCTTTAAATATATATATAATTCTAACACATTTTGTAAGTTTTAGTGTCCTCTAAGTCGTTAGAAGTCAGGGCTGTTACTCTACCTATCCATTCTGTTTTTTATTCCACTAAGCATGTAATACCATGCTTTCATTGTGGCAAGCTTTATTACCTGCATGATGAATTAACTTTTTAGACTCCTTTCTGGCTGCTGAACTAGAGTATATGGCTCTGAGGCTAGAAGAGATGCATGCCTAATTTAAGTCCTACAAATATTTACTGACTGCCTCTTATTTACCAGGCATCCAGCTAGTTTAAATCTAATTTTCAGATAAATTAGGTTTGTTAAAGAGTACATTTCCTTTAAAATATATAGTCTAAACACTGTCCCTTGAAATCTCCTTTCTTTGCCACCTAATGATAGTAGAGGTATATGTGAGACGTACTTCCTTAAAACTAGGTCACTGTGACTGGGTGAACACCAAGTAACAATCTTCAAATCCATATTCATCTACAAGAGAGATTTACCTTTAACATAATTTCTAGATATGTCCCTGCTTTCAGTGGGGTGTCTGGAGCATTAACTGGAAGAGGATACAGAATAATCATCTGGGGACTTTAATAAACATGTTTCTAGTTTTCTCTGATGTTCTTTGGAAGAGACCCAATTTAGAAGTGACCCGCATAGATGTCAAAGACATAAGTCACAGCTTAATCAACAGCCACCTTTACTACTTTTCTTCTCATAGTCTATCAGAGGCTACTTTATTTTGTCTTTTAAGAAAAAAAAGAAAAGAAAGAAAGAAAGAAAAAAAAGGAGTAGCCTCAGGGCTGAATTCTTCTATGGGGAAAAAAAAAAATAGAAAACTGGAAGCTGGCACTGCTATAGGCAAAGAATTGGAGAAAGTTTTCTCTCACATACTACCTGAAGGCAAACATCTCCTAACTCCTCTGAGCACAGACATATTTTTGGCTCCCTGTCACACACAACAGGGACAGGGTGGGCTTAAAACAGCTTCCTTTTGGACCACACCTATAAACTGAATGAGTGAAAAAATAGAATGACTGGCACACTGTCCAGGTTTTCTGGTTTCAACTATATTTGAGGTGAAAGAATCAAGCCCAGCTCTCCATTTTGAGTTTAAGAATAATGTAAAGTCCAGTAACCCTGTTTGTGTATTTATAACTTAATATAGAATTATGTACTCAATAAATCAGAATAATTCAAGAGTTAATATTAGCCTGACAAACAAAAATGCTACTTCAAGTTTAGGAAAGAGAAAAGAAATGGGATAATGAATATACACATGTATATGATAAAGAAAGGCTTCTGAAAATACATTAATATTGCAGTCAAATAAACATTATCTGGCCTTTTGCAAAAATGTTTTGAGATATTTAAATATAGAAAGTTCATGTTTAGGGGCCGGGCGCGGTGGCTCACGCCTGTAATCCCATCACTTTGGGAGGCTGAGGCGGGTGGATCACGAGGTCAGGAGATTGAGACCATCCTGGCTAACACGGTGAAACGCCGTCTCTACTAAAAATACAAAAAATTAGCCAGGCGTGGTGGCGGGTGCCTGTAGTCCCAGGTAGTTGGGAGGCTGAGGCAGGAGAATGGCGTGAACCCGGGAGGCGGAGCTTGCCGTGAGCCGAGATCGCGCCACTGCACTCCAGCCTGGGCCACAGAGCGAGACTCTGTCTCAAAAAAAAAAAAAAAAAAAGAAGGAAAGTTCATGTTTAATTGGTTTAACTGGAATCCAAACATCCAGATGTTTGGTGTTGCACTTTAGCTTTGCAAGAAAGTGGTAATGGGAATATCAGACTACGGCCCTGAATATTTCAAAACCTCCGGAACTAAATAAGCTCTAGACTTATATTCCCAATTTCTTACTTGACATCTCCACCCAAATATATATGATTTGCCTTTGTGCTGTGGTCTGAATGTTGGTGTCCCTCTCATTTCATATATCGGAACCTGGTTCACACTATGATAGTATTAAGCGGTAGGGCCTTTGGGAAGTCATTAAGTTATGAGAACTCTACCCTCGTCAATGGAATCAGTGCCCCTACAGAAGCAGCTCAGATGAGCTCCCTTGCCCCTTCCACCATGTGGGGACAAAGCTAGATGTCATCCGTGAGGAATGGCACTCACCAGATATTGAATCTGCCAGCATCTTGATTTTGAACTTTGCAGGCCCCATAACTGTGAGCAATAAATTTCTGTTGTTTATAACTACCCAGCTTAAAGTATTTTGTTATAGCAGCCTGAATGCACTAAGGTATCTTGCAAACTGGATTGTTTCCATCTTCTCTATTTCATTATGTGGTACCAACATTTGCCAAGGTGCTTAAGTCAAAACCCCAAAAGTTAAGGCTGGCTTCATAGGCACATGGCCAGGGGAATCACACAAGAGCTCCAAGCTCAGAGGGTCCTGCACTTGGAGTTTAATGTTCTGTGGTTGCAGTCTTTACATTCTTAATTTTATCTTCTAATTTGCATTTTATAAGTGAAGTTCAATGGGACAAAGGAGCATACTGAGTGCTTGGAGTTTGGCTCACATGTAGTCCTGCCTCTCACCCCCTCACTACCTTTTAGATGGATTCTCAGCCCCCTGTCTCCTGTTCATCCTGGGCCTTTTTCACCTTCGGCTTCCCTGTCACTGAGCAGTGACAGCTGCTGCCCTCTGTCCAGGATGGTGACCATGTTACATGGCCGGGGACTGGGGAGTGGTGCTGCATTCTGCTATAGCCCTTAACCTTCAGCAGCAGCCTGGGCAAGGGGAGGGTTGAGGATGAGCACACACACCAATCACCCTGTGGTGTCTCAAGTAGGGCATGGTAGTGGTTGTAAATGCCCCAACTGGCAGTGCCATATGTATGTTCAGCTAGCTACTAGGTAGGGACAAGCCTTTTGCCCACCCTAATTCAAGTATCAAGTGTGTCCTGGATCAGGGGCTCCAATAACCTTGGGGGTTGCCTGTTTGCTGTGGACGAGGCAGTGGACCTGTGGGAAGGGAAGATTGACTTTCCTGTCCCCAGGGGGGCACAACACATTGGTCCTAGAGCTTGCATAAGAGGAAACCCAGCAGTGATTAACTCTGCCCCAATTGAGTCTCTGGGCAAAACCCCAGGGAGCCTGCAAGGGTCTGGACTTTGTCTGGCAAATATCCCTGTGCCCAAGTTAATGTGACATTAAGCAGCAAATAAAACACCATCATGACAGATGGCAAGAGAGACATGGAAGAAAGCAAACAGTTTTACACTTTAGTACCTTTAATGGCACTTTTTTTTTTACTCCTTTAACAAGGAACCCTGCATTTTGCACTGTGTTTCACAAAGTATGCAGCCAGCCCTGCTAGGAGTCCTCATTTATACGACATATATTTTCTATCTGCAAACTCTATTGTTTCTACCACTAAAATATATTCCATGTTCACATGTCTTCATTTCTATATATCTCACCACCCTGCTTCTCTAACCTTCCAACTAGCCCTGGCCCAACAGTTTATTCTGCTCACAATACCCAGAGTAATCTTTTATAAACTTAGTCCTCCAAGCCCCTAGGCTTCCTTTCATCACACTTAGCATGAAGTTCAAAGGCCTTCTCATGACCTACAAAGCCTTGTGTGAACCAAACCCTGCCAGCCTCTCCCCTTTCATCTGTAATATTCCAGCCACAATGGCTTCTGTCCTACCACTTGAACACACCAAACTCTTCACCCCTTACCCCCGACACTGAGACAGCCAGGTGGGAGGGGATCCCTGGAGAAACTCCAACCAGCCTGTCTACTGAGGTGGAGCCTCAGGAAGTTCACGACATTTGCAGCAGAGGGCAGCCTGGCCCCTCCTCTTCTTGGGTGGAACTTGGGATTCAAGCTGTGGGCGGAAGTGCTCTAGCAGGAACTCTGGACTTATGGAGGATCCCTGTTTCCCCTTTTTTCCCTTTTTCACCCAATAAAATCCTGCTTTACTTACCCTTTAAACTGTCTGTGAGCATAAATTTTTGTGGCCATGGGATGGACAAGAACCCTGTCTTTAGCTGAACTAAGGAAAAGGCCTGACACAACATCATAACGCCTTCCACCTCCACCAGCATTTCACATCCCATTCCCTCTGCTCAGAACAACAACCCTTCCCCACCTCTTTCCCCCAGCACACACTACATGCACTAAAACATACAGACAGGGTTGGCTCCTTCCCAAACTTCAGGTTTATCCACAGAGAAAACTCTTCAATCTCCTTCCTAAGCCTTCCTATTGCACTATGCTTGTTCCTTCCTACCACGAGTGCTCATTTATATATTTGTTTGTTTAGTTTTTTACTTTTTCTGTCTGCCTTCCCCTCTAGTTTATATGTTTCACACACACAAGCATGTCTGTTTTCTTAATCAACCTATATTGGGTTCTCACCTTAGTACCTCCTGCATGGAGCTCAACAATTAATTGTTAAATGAATAAATATATTATAGTATTTGTTGTACTATCTTGCATAAAGATTTGGAAGCATTCAAAGTTGGAACACTGGGTATATTATATATAGTTATTCAGTTTGCCAAAAAGCAGACAGCTCCCATCTCTCTCCATGTGGTCAAATATAAATTTGCATATTTATTTTCAAGTCTCAACCCAGTCACTGGACTATTAACCAGGGTACTTATGAATCTTAAGTAATTCATGGAAGAAGAGAAATGCAGTGTCACTTTGGAAATTTAGTAAGCTAAATTTGAGAGGAAAGTGAAATTTTCTAGAGTGATAAACTCAAATTCAAACTTCTCTGGGAAAATATTTTCCCCCTTTCTTTCCTCCCTCTCTTCCTTGGTTTCTCTCTGTTTTTAATAACAATCCATAATACTCATTTATCAAATTTCATAATGTATTTTAAGAAGGCAAACAAACCTTTTTTAAAATGAAATGCTTAGTGTTTATTTCAGCTATAATATTAGTTTCTAGTAAAGGTATATGTGAAAGGCTGAGTAATGGTTCTCCAAGAATGCTCATGTGCCAATCCCTGGGACAAGGGAATAAGTTACCTTTTATGTCAAAAGAGACTTAGCAATGTGATAACATTAAGGATCCTGAGGTGGGAAGATTAGCCTGGATTATCCATGTTGGCCCAATGTAATCAAAGGGTTCTTGTAAAATGGAGGCACAATGGTGAGAAAGAGGTTATAAGAAGCTATACTTTTAATTTTGAAGATGGAGGATAAATAAATGGGCCAAGGAATGCAGATAACTTCTAGAAGCTAGAAAAGGCAAAATGAATTATCTCCTAGAGCATCAAGAAGAAATGCAGCCCTGCTGACACCTTGATTTTAGGACTTCTGACCTCCAGAACTGCAAGATAATAAATATATGTTGTTTTAAGCCACTGCATTTGTGGTGCTTTACCACAGCAGCCATAGGAAACTATGGTTTATGGTTAAAGAGAGCTATATAGTTTGTGCTTTGCATAAAAGCATAGCTCAGAGATATTGCAGGCTCAGTTACAGGCTACCTGAATAAAGCAAATATCACAATAAGGTGAGTCATAAGAATTTTTTGGTTTCCTAGTACATGGAAAAGTTATGTTTACATGATACTGTAAGTATGCAATAGCATTAGGTATAAAAAATGTACCCTTTATAATTTAAAGAATACTTTATTAGTAAAAAACACTAACTAGCGTCTGAGTCTTCAGCAAGTCATAATCTTTCTGCTGGTGGAGAGTCTTGCCTCAGTGTTGATGGCTGATGACTGATCAGGGTGATGGTTGCTGAAGATTAAGGTTGCTGTGGCGATTTCTTAAAATAAGATGACAATGAATTCTGTAGCATCAGTTGGTTCTTCTTTTCGTGAAAGATTTCTCTATGGCATGCGATGCTGATTGAGAGTATTTTACCCAAAGTAGAACTTCTTTCAAAATTGGAGTCAATCCTCTCAAATCCTGCTGCTGCTTTATCAATTAAATTTATGTAATATTCAAATCCTTTGTTGCCATTTCAACAATGTTCATAGCATCTTCACCAGGAGTGGACTCCATCTGAAGAAATCACTTTCTTTGCCCATTCAAAAGAGGCAAATCCTCATCCATTCAAGTTTTATCATGAGATTTCAGCACTTCAGTCACAGCTCCAGGCTCTACTTCTAATTCCAGTTCTCTGGCTAGTTCCACCACATCTGCAATTTCTTCCTCCATTGAAGCCTTGAACCCCTCAAAGTCACTCATTAATACTGGAATCAACTTTTTCCCAAGTCATGCTCATGTTGCTCTTTGGACCTCTTTTCATGAATCACAAATGTTCTTAATGGCATCTAGAAGGGTGAATCCATTCCAGAAGGTTTTCAATGTACTTTGCTCAAATCCATCAATGAATCACTATTTATGACAGATATAGACTTACAAAATATATTTCTTAAGAAATAAGGCTTTGATGCTCTTACAATTTGGCATGTTTTTGCAGTGGCTGGTACTGGTTGTTCCTTTCCACGTTTAGTGCTCTTCAAGGAGAACTACAAACCACTGCTCAATTAAATAAAAGAGGATACAAACAAATGGAAGAACATTCCATGCTCATGGATAGGAAGAATCAATATGGTGAAAATGGCCATACTGCCCAAGGGAATTTATAGATTCAATGCCATCCCCATCAAGCTACCAATGACTTTCTTCACAGAATTGGAAAAAACTACTTTAAAGTTCATATGGAACCAAAAAAGAGCCCGCATCACCAAGTCAATCCTAAGCCAAAAGAACAAAGCTGGAGGCATCACACTACCTGACTTCAAACTGTACTACAAGCCTACAGTAACCAAAACAGCATGGTACTGGTACCAAAACAGAGATATAGACCAACAGAACAGAACAGAGCCCTCAGAAATAATGCTGCATATCTACAACCATCTGATCTTTGACAAACCTGACAAAAACAAGAAATGGGAAAAGGATTCCCTATTTAATAAATGGTGCTGGGAAAACTGGCTAGCCATATGTAGAAAGCTGAAACTGGATCCCTTCCTTACACCTTATACAAAAATTAATTCAAGATGGATTAAAGACTTAAATGTTAGACCTGAAACCATAAAAACCTTAGAAGAAAACCTAGGCAACACCATTCAGGACATAGGCATGGGCAGGGACTTCAAGTCTAAAACACCAAAAACAATGGCAACAAAAGCCAAAATTGACAAATGGGATCTAATTAAACTAAAGAGCTTCTGCGCAGCAAAAGAAACTACCATCAGAGTGAACAGGCAACCTACAGAATGGGAGAAAAATTTTGCAATCTACTCATCTGATAAAGGCTAATATCCAGAATCTACAATGAACTCCAACAAATTTACAAGAAAAAAACAAACAACCCCATCAAAAAGTGGGTGAAGGATATGAACAGACACTTCTCAAAAGAAGACATTTATGCAGCCAAAAGACACATCAAAAAATGCTCATCATCACTGGCCATCAGAGAAATGCAAATCAAAACCACAATGAGATACCCCATCTCCCACCAGTTAGAATGGCAATCATTAAAAAGTCAGGAAACAACAGGTGCTGGAGAGGATGTGGAGAAATAGGAACACTTTGACACTGTTGGTGGGACTGTAAACTAGTTCAACCATTGTGGAAGTCAGTGTGGCGATTCCTCAGGGATCTAGAACTAGAAATACCATTTGACCCAGCCATCTCATTACTGGGTATATACCCAAAGGATTATAAATCATGCTGCTATAAAGACACATGCACACGTATGTTTATTGCGGCACTATTCACAATAGCAAAGACTGGGAACCAAGCCAAATGCCCAACAATGATAGACTGGATTAAGAAAAGGTGGCACATATACACCATGGAATACTATGCAGTCATAAAAAATGATGAGTTCATGTCCTTTGTAGGGACATGGATGGAGCTATAAACCATCATTCTCAGCAAACAATTGCAAGGGCAAAAAACCAAACACCGCATGTTCTCACTCATAGGTAGGAATTGAACAATGACAACACATGGACACAGGAAGGGGAACATCACACACCGGGGCCTGTTTTGGGGTGAGGGGATGGGGGAAGGATAGCATTAGGAGATATACCTAATGCTAAATGACGAGTTAATGGTGCAGCACACCAACATGGCACATGTATACATATGTAACTAACCTGCACATTGTGCACATGTACCCTAAAACTTAAAGTATAATTAAAAAAAAAGAAAAGAGAAATAAGGCTTGAAATTCAAAATAAATCTTTGATCCATGGGCTGGAGAATGAAGGTTGTATCAGAAGGCAAGAAAACAATATTCATTTCCTTGTAAATTTCCATTAGAGCTCTTGTATGGCCAGGTGCATTGTCAATGCGCAGGAATATTTTGAAAAGAACTTTTTCCCCCCCAAGCTGTAAGTCTTAGCAGCAGGCTTAAAATATTCAATTAGCCATGCTATAAACAGATTTTCTGTTATCCAAGCTTTGTTGTTCCATTTCTAGGGCATAGGCAGAGTAGATTTAGCCTCATTCTTAAGGGCCCTAGAATTTTCAGTATCAGTTAATAAGTATTGGCTTCAACTTAGTCACCAGATGCATTGTCCCCTAAAAAGAGAGTCAGCCTGTTTTTTGAAGCAATGAGGCCAGGCATTGACTTCTCCCCTTTAGCTATGAAAGTCCTAGACATCATCTTCTTCCAATAGAAGTCTGTTTCATTTACATTGAGAATCTGTTGTTGGGTATAGCCACCTTCATCGATGATCTTGCGTGGATTTTCCGGATAACTTATGTAGCTTCTCCATCAACACTTGCTGCTTCACTCTGCACTCTTATGTGATGGAGTTGGTTTCTTTCTTTAAACTTCATTAACCAACTCCTGCTGGTTTCCAACTTTTCTTCTGCAGCTTCCTCATCTCTCTCAGCTTTCACAGAATTGAAGAAAGTTAGGGCCTTGTTATGGGTTAAGCTTTGGCTTAAAGAAATGTTGTGGCTGGTTTGACCTTCTATTCAGACCACTCAAACTTTCTTCATACCAGCAATGATGCTGTTTCACTTTCTTTTTTTGTTTTAATCATTCATGTAATCACTGGAATAGCACTTTTAATTTTCTTCAGAAACTTTTCCTTTGCATTAACAACTTGGCTAACTGATGCAAGAGCCCAAGCTTTCAGTCTATCTGGCTTTAGACATGCCTTCCTTGCTAAGCTTAATCATTTTTAGTGTTTGAAGTGAGAGATATGTGATACTTCCCTTCACTTGAATACCTTGAGACAATTGGAGGCCATTAATTGGACCATTTTGACACTGTTGTAACTCAGGGAACAGGAAGGTCCAAGAAGATAGAAGTAGGGGAAGTGCTGGTCAGTGGAGCAATCAGAATGCACACGACATTTCTCGGTTAAGTTCACCGTCTTATATTGGCAGGGTCTGTCGCATCCCAAATCAATTACAATAGTAACATCAAAGATCAATGACCAAAAATTGCCATAACAGGTAAAATAGTACTGAAAAGATTTTAAAATTTGTAAGAATTACTAAAATGTGACCCAGAGACACAAAGTGAGCACACACTTTTGGAAAAAAATGGCACCAATAGACTTTCTAGACACAGAATTGCTACAAACCTTCAATGTTTAAAAAACACAGTATCTGTGAAGCAGAATAAAGCAAAGCACAATAAAACTAGGTATGCCTGCATAGTATACAGCAGAAGTGTAGATGAAAAAAAGCAAAACAAAAAATCTACTTGGCTATTTTCTAAACTTGCCTATTGATAAGAGTCATGTGGGGAATTCATTGAAAGCACAAACATCCCTTGCATCTTCTATAGATATTCTGTTTCATTAATTCTAGTCTAATATAGGAAATGAAGCTCATGAAAGTGAGATGATGTACTGAGGCCAAAATGACTATAGCTGGACTGGAGCAAAATGGACTCCCCAAGCCATAGCAGCAAGGATTACTGTCTACACTGAGCTATGTATTATAATAAAATGTCTTTTACAATGGATGTGAAAAGGGCCATGTAAACAATTACATGGATTGGAGCATATTATAATTTTAAAAAATTAACCTAGTGTCATAAATAAAAGTGGGAGAGGAGCTATGCAAGATTCAGAGTTTTAAGGACCTGTCATAGACTAAATGTTTGTGTGCCCCCAAAATATTCATATGTTGATGCCCTAACTCCCACTGTGGCTACAGTTGGAGGGGGGCCTCTAAGGAAGTAATTCAAGTTAAATGAGGTCATAAGAATGGGGTCCTGATTTGATAGGATTAGTGTCTTCAGGAGAAGAGATACCAGAAAGCTTGTTCTCTCTCTTTCCATGCATATGAACCAAGGAATGGCCATTGGAGGACATAGTGAGAGGGCAGCTATCTACAAGCCAGGCAGAGAACTGTCACCAGAAACTGATGCTGCTTTAGTTGGATCTAGAACATCAAACCTCCAGAAGTGTAAAGAAGTAAATTTTTGTTGTTTAAACCACACAGTCTATGGTATGTTGTGATGGCAGCCAGGCTGAATTATATAGGTCCATAACAATCAGATGCCTGTGTGGTCCTGCATTGAATACTGATTTACGCAAGTCAGTCTTAAAGGACATTTCTGAATTAATTGGCAAAATTTTAATGTAGCATGGGTATTAAATGAGATAAAAATATATTGGAACGGAAAAGTGTAGATTATAGAAGGAAAATGCACAGATCACAAAACAGTATGTATAGTATTATCTTACGCTGTAAAATATACAGGTATATGTGTATGTGAGCATGTATGCTATGATTTGAATGTCACCTCCAAAACTTTTGTTGAAAGTTCATTGCTGTTGTGATGGTATTAAGAAGTTGGATTTTTAAGAGGTGATTAGGTCATGAGGGCTCTGTCCTCAGGAATGGATAAATGTCTGTGTTGAGAAAGTAGGCTCCTGATAAAAGGATAGGTTTGGAATGTCCCCAATTCTCTTTCTGTCTCAAATGTTCACTTGCACTTCTGCCATGGAATAACTGTAGCAAGAAGGTGCTCACCTGACCACATGCCAAGCAAACACTGCACCATGCCCTTGGACTTCTCAGTCCCTAGAACTGTGAGCCAATTGAACTATATAAATTACCCAGTCTGTGGTATTCTGTTATAGTAGCAGAAAACAAACTTAGGCAGTGTGCATGTGTGTATATTCACACACATATGTAAAACATGTGTGTGTGTGTGCACCTGGAAAGATATACACAAACTTATGGTTTGGATCTTTCAGTGGTAGAAATGTTATTTTTAATTTTGCTTCTCTGAGTATTCATTAATTTTCTACAATGCATATGTACTGCTTCCATAAAAATGAAATATCATTTAACGTAATTGATGGTAAGTCCTTCTATATGAAAAAAATTCTGTCGGTTTATAGAATGCTTTGATCTTCATACCTTACACCAATTTCCACTGTCACACCTTTCTCCCAGTGAACCAACTACAATTATGATCAATGGTTTTCTGTAGGGAGAGCTACTAACAGATACTCTGCCTGATTAAAAAGGGGAAGACAGCAAGTATCACTTGCCTATTGGCAAGATTCCATTCATTTATAGCTGAAGCAACCCATGATTCAATCCAACTAATTCAAATGAATCTTCCTAGGTGAATTAAATCAACCTCCCTATGAAAATATTCCTCTAAGTATTAAAGAGAATAATACCATCTTCTGGTCTGACAATTCAGAAAACAATCAAGCATGGAAATGTAGGGCCAAAACAGAAATACAACTTTTTGATTTTACTCCATTCAACAGCCTTTGTTGAGCATCTAATGTGCTCAAAGCCCTAGGCTTGAACATTTCACTCCCTCCTACCTGAAATGTTACATTCTTTCTTCCTCACCAACTATATGAATTTTACCTCTTCTTAAAGACCTTACTCTCATTCCAATTTTTCTAAGAAGACTTCTCTGACTTCCCCAGTCCAGAGCAAACATCCCCTGCCTCTGAAAGCATAGGGTGCTTAGGGGCTCTTTGACTGAATACATACAAATATTGAGCACTCTGTTATTTAAACATGTTTAATTCTCCCCCTAGAAGATTGTAGGATGCTGTATGGTAGAGTCTTTTAAAAAAATTCTCGGTTTTCTCCAGTGTTTTACCCTTGGAAGACATTGAATAAATGTTTGTTGATTAACTGACAGATTTGGGATTTGCCTTTCTCTTGGTCCAAAACTGTGGTACAAAACTGTGAGAGTACAGTTAATAGTTATTGAAATGGATGCCAACTCTCTAAACATGGTAATAATTCCTTTTTTAAAGAGTGTTGGATATTACTCTATTTTTTCAACTGGTTTTAAAAAGGGTAGGGCTGTTTTGTTAATTTACAATACAAAGAAGAAATCTCTTCCTTCCAGTCTGTGCCAGATGGGCTGAAATAATGAGAACTGAAGGTTTCCACAGTCATGCACCAGGTGACAAAATAAAAGCTTTTTCCAAGCAGTAAAACTGTTCTTTCTCTGCTGAGAAAGTGTCTTAAGAAGCAAGAATCAGCCAGCTAAAAGCTGTATCTTTGCCCCCACTTTCCCAGTGCTGAGCCAAGAATAGGAGACACTAGAGAGGTGAAATTTTGCCAAACCCCTGAGAAATTAGACAGTTGCTGCTGGAGATGCAAGAGGATAGGTGACATTTAATTGAGAAATTGCCTAATTTTCCATCAGTATGATAAAAAAATAACAATGTGAAATTGTTGGATCTTGATGTGTGTCTCTTAGTTAGAGGCAGGTGCCATCCAATTTCATTTTTTTAAGGCAAAGGATCTTAGCAACAAGGTGGCTCTGTTCCATGCTCTAAGGATGCATTTAGCAACATGGGAAGCTTCATGTATTGATACTTGTTCTTCCAGAACTTCTGATCTGCTCTATGTTCAGCAAAAACTGGTCATGAAACTGCCTTTGTAAAAATTGTAACCGTAAGAAAATTATGACAGTAAAAGAGATCTGATCTAATCAATCCCCATTTTATCTTTAATCTCCAAACTGTCCTTAATCATTCCTGGGGTTGGGCCAAGCTAATGTTGAGAGACATAGTTTAAATGACAATAGCCTTTCCCCAAAACTAAATTGCCTTTGTAAAGCTAATGAAAGACCACTAGGTGAGGAGGCTGAGCTAATGAAAGGACCACTAAGTGAGGAGGCTGAGAAGAGCCCAGTTCTGCTGAGGTGTAGATATAAATGATTACCAGCCATTATTCTGTAGGTCACAAGATTCACAACTTCCCCAATTACTCCAGCAGATAACATTTACAGAACCTAAGATTGGCCTTCTGAGATGTCTTTTCAGGTTTCTGCATATCTGACAACTGATGGCTCCCCCCAGGCCCACCAGCTGGTCCTGTGGCCCCATCCAGAAGCTGACTGAGCACACAAATGAACCATTTTCCACAACCCTATGATTGCATCCCCAACAAATCAGCAGCACCCACTTCCAGGCCCATCAAAACTATCCTTGAAAACCTCTAGCCTCTGAATTTTCGAGGAGACTGATTTGAGTAATAACACTCCAGTCTCTCATTCAGCCAGCTCTGCATGAATTAAACTCTTTCTCTATTGCAATTCTCCATCTTGATAAATTGGCTCTATCTGGGCAGTGGGCAAAATGAGCTTGTTGGGTGGTTACACTCACTGTTAAGCATGGGCTGTGGAGTCATCCCAATTTGTGTTAAATTCCTGCATCTGTCATTTATTAGCTGTGTGGTTTGGAGCAAGGGTATTAGCCTCTCAGTTCTTCAGTTTTGTCATCTATGAAATGCCAAGTGACACTTTCAGGTGCTTAACACCTGACACATACTTCTCAAAATGTGGAGGTTCTGTTATTTTCTTCTATCGACAAAAAAAAAAAATACCTATTTTAATTACTTATAAATTCAAAATTCAGAGTGTACCTAACTTCCAGATTTGGAGGAAACAGTCTACTTGTGCAGTTTTAGACAAGAACGGAACACATTAGAATCATTATAGTAGTTGCAACCCAAGGCCCTTGGTGTTGCTCCACTTCAGTTCTCCACATGTGCCAGCCTGGTCACTAGCTCTCACTTTGATCAAGCTCTTTATACCTTTGCCTTGACACCTATTTCTTTCCTATTCCTAGCATGTCCTTGGCTGCTATTCTCAGTATAGTCAAATTCCATCATACTTCAAGGCTTAGTCCAAAGGTCACTCACTGCCTTTGTGAAGTTGTGTAATCCACAATCAGAAGTTACTATTCTTTCTGGAACCTCTTCACAGTATTTAGAGATTACCTCTCTTTTATGTTTATTTTATTCTATTTTGCCTTATGATGATCTTCCTTACAGGAAACCTTTTTGCATGCCCTGCAACACATGCCTCACTTCTCAAAGGTTTGTCATTTTATAGAGAGCACTCTCTCTTCAAGTGTGTATCTTTCACACAGTTGCGAAAAGACACACCAAGTCTAGAGTTCTTTACATAATAGGTACTCAATAAATGGTTGATGGATGAATGATAAATGAATAACTTCAATCCTGTTGAAAATCAATTAAAAAACTCGATCTCTACTTTAGGCAGAACATTCTTCCTTCAGGCCCTCCTCTCCACCATCTCTCTTCTGATATTTCTACCCTTCCCTACTAAATAACAGTGTCTGCCTTTCGGAAGTATCGGAAAAAAATTTCTACCTGTGCTCCTATCCTTCCTCATTCTTCCATGCGCAAATGAGGAGAATGGGATAATCTTCCCAGTAAGGAAGGAACTGGACCGAAGTACAAGGCAATCAACCCATTCTGGGGCTCAGCACGCTAGACTGTGGATAAGTCAACCTGATTCAGAGGTGCTGTTGGCCTAGGCCATCTTTATTAGCTCAGCTTATCTGTGAGGCCTGTGTTGACTTTTCAATTGGTTTATAACTTACAGAGGGAAAAAGGGTATGATGTGCCTCCAGATACACATCTGATTATGCTTTTATAAGTCCTGACATTGAGCTGATGCTGGGAAGGATACTGGAAAAAAACACTATTTCAAATCTACTTCAGAAGGAAACACAGAACATCACAGTTTATGCCTCAGAACAATAACAGAAAAATCCCAAGAAGTTTACTTTTTTTGAATTGAGATTCTAAATCTGATGATGTTTTATTAATAGGCTACTATAAAATCAAAATGGGCCTTCAGCCAGTACATTCCTAAATTAGAGGCTTACACATCACTGGGCCAAGCTCCATCAGGATGGCACTAGATTCAGTAGAGGATTTTCAAAGCCCTAAAATAATCTGATGTAAGACTTAATATTAGATGCCCCATTATAAGAGATAATGAAAAATGTTATCTAAGTGGAAATGAAGGCATGCATCTGCCCACACTCATGGGAGGGTCACCAACAGCTGGATGAGAGATCCTGCACACTACACCACACCACCTAGGCCTATGAATTCATTTGCTCTGACAGCAAATGCAGAAGAGTGGAAAGTGGTGGCTTTTCACACTCACCGATTTTAATTCAACAAGGATCTAATCAGTTTCTACTTGGTATGCAGTGTGCTAGTAGTGCTGGCTGCCCTAAAGCATAAAAACACGTGTCATCTGGCTTGTTGTGTACTCCACAATGGTATTTTTGAGTTCCTCTACTGGATAATTATAATCAGGGACAGATCCACATTTTGTGGGGCTAGAAGCTTACACAATTTGTGGGATGCTCTTTAAGAAAGAGAATATAAAATTATAAACACAAAATATAGTGGACATTCTTGAAAGGGGCTCCCGCTTGTCGGAGACGCCAAGGCTTAAGCTTCATCAGTAAATCCTTCTCTGGCTGTAGCACAGTAGTGCTACATACAATTCCCATAAAATTATCTAGCAAATGGTCTGCTTAATGTAAAAGGAATATGCAAGGGGTGAAGCACCAATGATGATGGTGATGACGATAATGATTATATTTATACAGCGCTTACCTCTGTATCACTTCATGCTTTTGCCATTGGTCAGTATAAACCTATGTCAGAAGCTGGATGACAGCTCTTTGCTAATCTCCATTGTCTTGGAGCTCCACTTTTAGCTACTCTCTCCCACATAAAACTCCTTGTGTGGAACCTGCTGCTCCTACAAATGGCCTGACACTCACTGTAACTTATCTTCACAGTGCACCATTCAGAAGAATTTGAAGAGACTGCACATCAATCTCTTTCATTTCTAGAGCAGTTTAGAGGATTTTTTTTCTTTTATATAGGAGTCATGACAAGAGCCAACTGAAGCTTTTCTGCAAATACATCTCCCACGATATGTTACTTCTCTTTCTCTTTCACGATGCTGAAACAGAAAAAGGAAACTACTCTCTCCGTAGTAAAAGGAGCTTCATTGGATACCCTGCAAGGTATAAAAGCTGAAATGAGAAATGAGAAAACATACAATTCTTTAAGTCTAGGTAAGTTAGATTTCCAAGTGTTGCTTTTCCTTAACTGCTCAGTTGATGTTCAGACAAATGTTTCAATTGTCTAGTTTTCAGTTTATTATTTTATTCAACAGATAGTTTAAATATCTACCATGTGCCTGTACTTTATTAGACCCTAGCAATCCAGCCATAAATTTGTGAGAAAGAGCACATGCTTAGATACCATCATGCAAAAACAAAACCTCCCAAGGAGCTTGCTCCTTTCCTTGTCAATGGAGGATGTTGCCTTTAATTTTGATTCAGGATGCTGAGGGGTCTGGGTGGGGGCATACAGAGATAAAAATAGCAAACAGCATTTGAAATTTTCTTTAAAAATTGAAAATCAATATTGTCAGTTAGAAATGCATATATTAATAGTATGCTGTAGAAGGTAAAAAATGAACATGCAGAACTAAGTGTGCTGGCTGATTCACTAGAGAGGCATAGGGTATGACAGGAGCAAAAACTAAATGGTCTTATTGGTTCTTAGGGCTAGGTGGTGGAGTGGGCCATAAAGGAGGGCTTCTTAAAGGAAGTTGACTTAGGATAGAACCCAAATGTCTTTACGTATATGGGGACTGGGATGCTACCTTGATAAAAAGCTCCTGAGGCAGGAAAGGGCTATTTCTGTTTCTAGGGGGAAGATGAGGATGTCTGAATTGAAGAGCGAGCAAGCAGGTGGCCCTGGTGACATGGTCAGAGGCCAAACTGAGCAGGGTTTTGTAGGCCCTGCTAAGGATTTTGCCTTTTACCTAATATATACCACTTTGCATATTTGTAAAAACAATGTTAGACAGGAAAAAAATTAAAACAGCCTCAATGTGTGGTATGGGAGAAAGAGCCCTTTGTAGGTTCTTCTGCGCCTTTTCTAGAAACACAGTGCAAAGATCCCCAAGGAAGAAAGGCTGTTTATCCCCATATTCCCCATCTAACAAAGTAAGGAACAAAGTAAGGCTTTATGTAGCCATGTTGCCTCTGTAAATTTTGCTTTCTTGACTCGTAAAGAGAAA
This sequence comes from Homo sapiens, assembly GCF_000001405.40. Lineage (NCBI taxonomy): Eukaryota > Metazoa > Chordata > Mammalia > Primates > Hominidae > Homo > Homo sapiens. Next base: position 156,038,637 of record NC_000005.10, on the reverse strand, counting down.
GCTTTGGTCATTTTGTGTGTGTGTGTGTGGGAGCCATTTTTTTTTTTACTTTTTATTTTGAAATAATTTTAGATTTGCAGGAAAGTTGCAAATACAGTACAGAGTTCCTGTATGTATCACATCCTAATAATTTTCCCTAAGATCAACATCTTATATAGCCATGGTGCATTCATGAAAGATGAGAAATTAACATTGGCATAATACTATTCACTACATTATAGACTTTTTTTCAGATGTCATTGATTTTTTTTCTGTTCCAGGACCTACTTTATGCTATCCCATTGCAATTAGTTGTCAGGTCTCCTTAGTCTCCCTCAATCTATGACAGTCTCTTCATCTTTCCCTGTCTTTCATGACCTTGATACTTTTGAAAAGTACTGGTGAGGTATTTTGTAGAATGTCTCCCTGCCTTAGGATCTATCTAATGCTTTCTCATGATTGGCTGAGGATATGAATTTCAGGGAAGGATGCCTTCTCATTGGCCTAATGATTTGAAGTTCTCTAACAGCTCTGGGTGTTATAAGAAAGGTAATTTCCCTGGTCTCTATCCCCATCTTCACTCTACCAGATCCAGAATAATCCACATATCAGATATGAAAGAAGTTTAAGATAGGACAGTTACGGGAAGGCTTGTGTACTATCTAGTTTTCTTTTTAGGGGGCTCATTAACCTTTGACTCTCCTCAAACTTTATTTGTTCTATTCATTGCCTGCATTTTTGCCTTCTCCCTGCACCCTGTAGCTACTACAGATGCAATATATTATATTGACATGATAAGTATTATGTTTCTTCAAAGAGCTTTTTTAGCATGATTACTTTTGGTCTTTAATAACCCCAGGGAATTTCTTTCTAGATAGCCTAGTCTGTCTACATTGGCAGGGAATTAACACGTGCAAGACCTGTGTCTGCAAATTTTCCAGACCTCACTGTTTGTTCTTTAAAAAGACAATGACTCATTCCCAATTATCTTTTATCTTGTAGACAGAGCCATCTTCCTGAATTTAAATCACAGCCATCAACAAGCTACCTAATCTATGAGTGGAATCTTTAAAGATGGAACACAACAGATGCAAGATGTTTTATGTGTCCTAAATAAGTTTGTGTAGGTAACTTTCATTTTAGGTCAATTTGACAGGCCAAATTGCCTGCTTACAGAGTTTAGGGAATTAGGACCTGAGAACTGTGCAGGTGCCATCAGGGGAATGCAAAGATGTGAAGAAATGCCTGGGACTGGGGAAAACATTGAGGAGAAAATGACTGCAGCTGCACTGTTTTATCAGCTCCATCACACTTGCTGTCACTGCCTTGAACACACAGTGTTCCCTTCTGCCTCAGGGCCTTTGCACATGCCACTCCTGCTGCTCAGATGGCTCCTTGTCCCCAGCTTCTTTTGCCTCTCTCAGGGAAGCTTTCACCCACCTCCCAGAATAGATCTGGTCCTCCGTCATCTACTTTTACAATTCCACATGTTTTTCCATCATAGCAAGTAATAAAATTTGTAATTACATGTCTGTGTTGTAATTGAATAAAAATAATGTCACCTAAAAATTACTGAGCACTCTTTATGTGTGCCAAGCACTACAACTCTCATTCAGTCTTCAAAACAAAACCATGGGGACACTGAGACACAATCTGATCAATTTCCAGCTCTCCAGTAAACTGTAAGTGGCATGAGGAGAGGTTCTGCATGTCTGTTTTGCTCTACCCTGAATCACTAGTGCTTGGCAAAGAGCTTGGCAGGAAAAAGCTTGGTCTATATTTATTAAACAAATAACTGCAGCATGACATAGAAGGAGAAACATGTGCTCTGGGGTGAAGCATATTTGGTTCCAAATCTTAACACAGAGTATGAGCCACTCTTAGGAACCTACCAGGCCCCACCAAGTATGGAAATAAAGGAAAATTTGAGTCTCTCCAAGGGAAATTCCAGGCACCTAGCTAGCCCTGTTACCAGCAATTGAGGAAGGGAATAAATAACCCATGAAGCAAGAAAGTAAAAAAAGCTTAAATAACAGTAACCCAAGTAAGTTAGAGTCTCAAGATGTTTTGTTCTCTAAAGAAACCAAAGGTAGCATCTTAACGTATGTCTCTGAGTTGTCTTTCAGAAACCTCGGCCCTCATCAGATGGAAAATGCCTAGTGCTTTCCCATAGACCTTAGATAAGGGGAAAATGAGGACTGAGATCTGACTGTCATTCTTTGCTTTAAATTTCTTCCTGAGGAGCCTGGATAGAGTCATGCTTACAGGACAGACCTGAACATTTCTTTCTGCTGATGATTTTGCCTGAAACTTCTGCTTTCCTGAAATGTACCCCTGCCTTTAAAAACTCTGCTTGTAAGCCACTGAGGAGTTTGGATCTTAAGTGTTAGCCACCTGATTCTCCTTGCTTGGCACCTGCTGTACAAGTCTCTATGACCTCTCACTGCAAATTTTGGTGACAGTGTTGGCTTTTTCAGCCCACCAGGCAAGCAGACTCAAGTTTTATTTAGTGACAATCTCAATTCTGTGATTAGCTAGCTCTGTAAATTATAACAGCTTATTTAGCTTCCCTAAGCCCTGGTCTATCTGAGATCATGAAACCTCATCACAAAAGCCTTTAAAGGATTTAGATGAGATAATATAGGTGAAAGCACATTCTTGTGTCCAGCATGTATATAACTATAAAGCTGTGATATAACTAACAGCTTCCCTATTAAAAAATATTTCTTAGAGTTATAACAGTTCTGCAATTTTTCTTGTGATGGTATCACTATTCCTAAACACCATTTTGATACTTTGCTCACCAAAATGCTACGCTTCAAGATTATCACTTTGTGTTCCTTCTCTGATCTTATTCCAAGAATGAAGATGGGTTAAATATAATTCACAGAAACACGTCTAATGGAAGTTAACAGGAAGTAGTCACTTTACAATCCATTTTATTGGATTATAGAAAGGCAAATTACATTTCTCCTCTGCCATTAGAGAACCACCTAAATAGCCACCCCATTCTACTCTTGTTTTTATTATTATTTTTTATTTTTTTGAGACAGGGTCTCCCTCTATTGAACTCCAAGCTGGAGTTCAGTGGCACAATCATGGCTCACTGTAGCCTCAAACATCTATGTTCAAGTGATTCTCCCACCTTAGCCTCCTGAGTAACTGCAAATATAGGCATGTGCCACCATACCTGGCTAATGTTTTTATTTTTCTTTTGTAGAGACAGGGTTTCGCTACGTTGCCCATGCTAGTATTGAACACTTGGCCTCAAGTGATCCTCCCGCCACAGCCTCCAAAGTGCTGGTTAAAGGCATGAGCCACCATGACTGGCCCTATTCCACTTTTCAGGCAGACAAAATTACTGTTTTAACCACTCTGTTAAGGCTTTGGCAGCAGGTTAAAGTTGCACGAGTAGATGGTAGAATTCAATCCCAAACTTTAAAATGCACAAGACAAAAGGGAATAATATTAGCATTTCAAAGTAGAAAAACAAACAGACTCACCGAGGAAAACTTTAAGAAACACCTTAGGATTAAATTCCTTTGAAGAGCCTTGATTCCTGAAATAACAGAATGGTTATCTAATGGTATCCATTATGTCTCACTAATTGCCTTATGAAACTTACACTGGAAACATGTAGAAGGTATTTATGTATTATAAAAATTGCCAAAAAGTATGATATTAGAAGGTGTTCACAAAAAGAAAATAACAAAACTTGCTTACATTTATTAAGCACTTACAATATGCTAAGCTCTGAACTACACATTTTAACTAAAGTAGTTTTCATTGGATCCTATGACACATTTATCCAACAAATATTGACTAAGTGCTTACTATGCATGAGGCACTGTACTTACAGCAAGACAAACATAGTTCCTGCTTGCATGAAGGATGAAATCTAGTGGGTGAGACACATCTTGAACAGTTTCTTAATGTTTATTGCATAATTTCACATGACCAACTGATTCTGACTTGCCTTGAACTTTCCTGGTTTTTATACTGGAAATTTCACATCCTGAGAATAACTTTCTCAGTACTGGGGGAAGGAGAATAACTGGTCACTTAGCAAAATCACACAAGACACAATTGATTATAGTAAGTGCTATTACAAAGAAGTACAGAGTTATATGAACTACGGATGGTTAGCCCTCTTTTACAGATGAAGATAACAAGGTTTAGGAAAGCTAAATGGCCACATTCATATGTGGGAAAGGAAAGCTTTGAAGCTTCATTGTTCTGGCACCTAATTACATGACCTGATTTCATGTAATGATGATAATATATCTTCTGGTACTTTATACTTCAGAGTCCAAATCTAGACTCGCACTAATTAATGAAATGTTTTCAAAAGGTTTGGTGGAGGAAGGTTCATCAGAACAAGGAAAGACAGAATTCAGAGCAAATCCCTTGGATCTGGATCCTAAATGCAGCTCCATCACTGCTGGAAACACCTGCATATCTTTCAGCTGTGGGTGGCTCATGTGAAAACGAAAGAAAGCATTTTTCTGCTTGACTGGAGTCTTTTGCAGGAGACAAAAAGTGTTTCTTCAAGTGTGAGGAGTGGGGTAGGAGAGAGGGACTATTAAAAATTGGCAGGGCATACCTAAATACCTCTGGGCAGTGGATGAAAAATATCCCTGGAGGGTATTACAGCAGTTCATTTTGGTTAGCAAGACACAGTTTTCCCTTGGTAGAAAGTTGGTGAGGAAAAGATTGTGTCTTGCATTGAACAGTTTGATTTGGCTGGCATCTTTGATATAAAAAATTAAGTGCAAAAATGGGCAATGTGAGCCAGTAAAAAGAGGTTCAGAGTAACCCCCATCATATGCTCACTCCAATGATGGCAGGGTCTTTGGTCTATTTTGGTCACTGCTGTATTCCCTGCACACAGAAAAGGACATTCATTGCACATAGTATGCCCTCCCTAATATTTGTTGAATGGTTGAGGGCGCAAACAATAGTCTTAGTTTCTAATTTGCAAATGTGAGAAAGCTACTTTACCTCCCTGGGCCTTGGCTTTCACCTCCATTAAAGAGGAGAGTTTAACTGGATGACTTTTATTACTTCCAACAAATTCAAATTCAAGGTCTACACTTCAGGTTAAGAATTCATCCATGGATTCTTATTTCACTTACCCTCAGTGAGATAACTCAGAAACAGAAAGTCAAATACTGCATGTTCTCACTTACAAGTGGGGACAAAACAGTGGGTACACACGGACATATAGAAGGAAACAATAGACACTGGGGACGCCAAAAGGAGAGAGGGTGGGAGGAGGGTGAGGGTTAAAAAATTACCTATTAAGTATAGTGTTCACTATTTGGGTGACGGGTACACTAGAAGCACAAACCTTACTATTATGCAATATATGTATGTAAGAAACCTGCACTTGTATCCCCTAAATATATTAAAATTTTTTTAATTGTTAGATTTGTTGAAGTTTGGTTCAGGAGGCCATGGTTCCTGAAGGCATCAATTCACAAGGATCTCAACAAGTACCACAGAATGAAGAAACAGACAAATTTGAGCTTCTTTTTTTTTGTTTTTTTATAAAGTATTCTATTTTTAATTTTATTATTTTTGAGACGATGTCTCACTCTGTCTCCCAGGCTGGAGTATGGTGGTGTGATTACAGCTCACTGCAGCTTTGACCTCCAAGGCTCAAACGATCTTCCTGCCTCAGCCTCCTGAGTAACTGGGATCACAGGTGTGTGCCACTATACCTGGCTAATGTTTTTATTTTAATTTTTGTGTAGAGATAGGGTCTCCCTATGTTGTCCAGGCTGGTCACAAACTCCTGGGCTTAAGAGATCCTCCTGCCTTTACTTCCCAAAGTGCTACAATTACAGATGTGAGTCACTGTGCCACGCCCCAAATTTGAGCTTCTGCCTGGTGCTAGGTGTATTTGGGAATTAAACACTCTTTTTTTTTTTTTTTTTTTTTTTTTTTTTTGAGACGGAGTCTTGCTCTGTCGCCCAGGCTGGAGTGCAGTGGCTCACTACAAGCTCCACCTCCCGGGTTCATGCCATTCTCCTGCCCCAGCCTCCCTAGTAGCTGAGAATACCGGCGCCTGCCACCACGCCCAGCTAATGTTTTGTATATTTAGTAGAGACGGGTTTTCACCATGTTAGCCAGGATGGTTTCAATCTCCTGACCTTGTGATCTGCCTGCCCTGGCCTCCCAAAGTGCTGGGATTACAGGTGTGAGCCACTGTGCCCGGCCATTAAACACTCTTTTACCCTTCAATTGACAATGTATCTAAAAGTTGACTCATTTCAAGCCAGAAATAAATTTGAATAAGACTCAAAGAGTTAAAAAAACAAAAAAGAATACAACCCATAGACAGGGTGAGTCTCAATGTCAGGGCATATTTCTAGATGCCTAACTAAACAAGAAGAGTTAAATAAATTATAGCATAGTCATAAAATAGAAAAACAAATCACCATTAACATTGATATTGTAGAAGTATGTTTATTGACAAGAAAATTGTTCATGATACTGTTAGGTTTTTTTTTTTATTTTAAGTTATAAAACAAGCATAAGCCATATAGTGTGATCTATACACGTGTTCATATGCAGGCCTAGAAGGAAACCTGAAGAGATACACACTGATATGTAAGCAGCGATTCTCACTGAATTGTAGATTTATAGGTAAGTTTATTTTTATGATTATCTATCTATATCATCTAATTTTCCTCTATGGCTATGACTTATCATATAATATAAATTGATATAATGACTTAGCACCTAATAAGCACCTAGCTCTTCAGTAATGAGGTGCCATAATGTAGGCATTAGGACTTGGGCCCTGGAATCAGACCACTTGGTTCAAATCTTGGTTAAGCCCCTTGGTTACTGTGTGGCCTGGCTGAATTATTCAACTCTCCCCCACTATAAAGCAAACAATAATATTCAACTCACAGATTGGTGCTGAACTTTAAACTAGGTAATCCGTGCAAAATGCCTGACATACATCATACACTTGATAAATCTTAGCTATTATTATGCCAAATACAAAGAAATAAGTTTTAGACTATGTAAGCCTGTCAAATAATATGGACATTATCCTCAGGGAGCTTTTAATTTGGTAAGAATAATAAGACTAACACACAAGAAATGAAAGGAAAACCTTACAATAACCTCCTAGAGTCAAAAATCTGGAATAATTTTTGCCTTCTGTCTCAAGCAGCCTTTACATTCGATGAGATGCCAAGTCCTGCCTGGTGGGAAGCTCTTTCCCCATCATGCCCACTGCCACTCCTCCTCCTCCAGTTCATGTTTCTCTTCTGCCTGCTCACTGTATTACATTCCAAAGGGTTTCTAGGCCTCTTGTCTCATTTTCAAGTTCCTGTCTGTCTACATCAGTGGTTCTCAAAGAGTGGTTCTCAGACTAGCAGCATCAATATCACCTGAGAACTTGTTAGAAATGCACATTCTTGGATCCTAACTGAATCAGAAACTCCAAGGATGGAGCACAGGAATCTGTGTCATAAAAAGCCTTCTAGGGGATCCTGATGTGCATGTCAGCTGGAGAACTTCTGCTCCATACAATATTGGCAGATCAGTCTCCCCAAAGCACATAAGCTTCTGTCACTGCATATCCCCCACTTGTCTCTGGCTACTGAGTAGATGGTGACAGATTTTCTTATGCTGCTACTGGAGGCCTTCTGCCCATGGTCTAGCACCAATCTACTTTTTCAGGCTCATTTTCCACTACTTTTTTTCACTCAAAAACATGCCCTAGTACAACTAAAGCATGTAATTCTCCCTAGACACAGTCCATGGTATATTCTATGTGTGTTTCTATTTGTACTATTTGTACCTTTATTTGCACTATTTCCTAAAGCTACATGTAATTTCTTCTTCCTTTGCACCTTAGATGTCCCAACCCTGCTCACTCTCAAGACCCAGGGCCCCCCCATGAAACTTCTCTCAATAGGCCCACAACCCCCTATGGAAATGACTACTTCCTTCTCAGAACAACAAAAGCATTCAACTCACCCGTCCTTTCCCCCATTCATTTCCTTGGTATCACCACAATGTTTAGTTTACTAGGGCTGCTATAAAAAATGACCATAAACTAGGGGGATTTAAAATAACAGAACTTTATTTTCTCACAGTTCTGGAGGCTAGAAGTCTGGAATCAAGGTGTTGGTGTGTTAGCAGGGCCTCACCTTTCTCTTAGCATCTGGTGCTGCCAGCAATCCTTGCTGTTCCTTGGCTTGTAGACATGCCACTCTCATCTCTGCCTCTGCCGTCACCTGGCATTTCCCCTATGACTATGGGTCTCTTATAAGAACATTATTAAGCCATTATTGGATTAGGACTCACTCTTACCCAATATGACCTCGCCTTAACTTGATTACATCTGCAAAGACCCTATTTCCAAATAAGGTCACATTCTTAGATCCTACAGGATAGGACTTCAACATATCTTTCTGGGGAACACAATTCAACCATGGTAATTTGCATATATTACATATCACCCCTAATCAAGAGTAAGCTCCTTGAAAGCAAGCACTCTAGCTCATTCCTATTTTCATTTCCCTGTATTGGTTAATGAACAGAAAACTAAAGACATAAAGTAGAATGTAACTAAGCACCCGTTACCTTAACTAGTATCTGAGCACAAAATTATGTGACATGGTCCATTCAGTGTGGGAAATTGGGAGGTGAGGGAGGTAGGTTTATGAGGGCTGGAGGGCTTGGCGAAGGCTTTCTGGGGGAAGAAAGGCTGCTTAATGAGTAGACAGGATTTGGAGACAGAGAGAAAAGAGGCTGTAAGTTTCCAAGTAGCGAAGCTGTATGAACGAAATATTGTCAATACAAATTTTTTTAAAAAATTAGGTAAAGTGAAATTAAAAAAAAATTCTGTGTTGGCATAGCCAGAGCCCTAGAGAACAGATCTGGAGGTAGAAGATGGATATTGAACAGAAATGGGAAATGATCCATCACTTGTTCTTTTTGTTAGTTCAGTGATCATTGTTTGGTCTCTTCTCTATTTTTCCTGCTAGTTTATTACTCCCTGGCTGGCTTCTAAATTCTGTTTCTGAGAGAAGATAATTGAATTGGCAGCCGAATATGCCCATACAACCCTGGACTTCATTCTCCTGATACTAAGCATCTTCTCATGTTAGAGGGCAAGCTAGAGAGTGAGGATAAAGATCACATCTACCTTGGTTACTACAGTATCTCCAAGGCTTGTCATGCAAAACAGGCTCCACAAGTATATCTTGAATGAATGAATGGATGGATGACAAGACAACTATAAGGGTGAGTGAGTGTGTTTGTGTGTTTGTATGTGTGTCAGTGTCATTCCATCCCATTAACTATAGATTCCTGATTACAGAAAAATAACCATAAAACTCTATTACTACAGATTCTGAAAGTGTATTTGACTCCATTTTTTGTTACTTAGTCCTCAACCTTGTTTATATTATTAATCCATTAGACAGAACCTGTGCTTATATCTGTTTCATATTCAGTTAAACACAGCATTTTCTTGATTAACATTATATCAGACACTACTCATGCAGAACCGGTTTGTATTCAAATTCAAAGCAGATGATGAGGTTGAGAATGGTGACCTTAATTAATTAATTCTCTAATTGCACTCTAAAAAAAAACATAAAAGCCTAAAAGCTAGATGAAAAATGTTTGATTTTGTTCATAATTTTCCCCAAATTTCCTCCTGCGTACACACACTTAAAGTGTATTAAACAAGCAGCAGATACAGTTTGTGATTTCGTGCTGAGTGGTATGTCTTTTAATTAGTAATATTAACATTAAAAATCTTTCTTTGACAAGCAACAGTAGGTTCAGACGACATCATGCTGTATTCTCTTCCTTGTGAAAGACGATTATTAAATTGTTATCTTGTGATTCAGAGAAAATATTAAATCTCTTTCAAAGAAAAAATTTTCTCCATGACTTTCTCATGATGTGTGGTACAAATATTTTAATGGCTCATCTAGGATCACTGCCTTCATTATATACAGAAGCATAGGAAAATCAAAAATAATATTCTGACTGATAGAACTCACTATCCTTATCATCATAGCAAGCAATTATTGACCAATTCCTATATACCATGCAGAGTTTTCAGTATTCATTAAGGCAGAGCATTAAGATAGCTAATTTCATCATCATCACAACACTGAGCTAAAAATTATTGCTATCATTTTACATAGGAAGAAACTGAGATATTAGAGGGTAAATAACTGGCCCAAGTTCACAAAGTGACTAATTCAAGGTGTCTGATTTTAATTCAGTTCTGTCTGACTCTAGAAAGTGTATGCTCTTTACTAAATTATTCTCTATTTATTTTTGAACTGAAAAAAGGTAAACCATAAGAAAACCAGATGATTTTAGAAAAAGAATCATAGAGTCATGTTCAAGGGCTATTTCTGGGCTGAACGCACATTCTACCCTGTCTTCGATACTGCCATTATGACTAACAATGATAGTCACTGAACCCAGAAACAGCACAAGATTCAGAAGATGTTGAAGTAAAACTCCATTGCCTTCTTTAGAGAGAGTGCTATTAGCTGAAGTGTTCCAAAATCCCTCTGTTGAAACTTAATTGCCATTGTGATAGTTTTAAAAGACAGGAGCTTTAGGAAGTAAGGTGGGACCTTTAGGAATGGGATTCACATCTTATTAAAGAAGCTTCACACAGAGTCCACCCTTTTTTGTCCTTCCACCTTCTGCCATATGAGTATACAGTGTTTAAGGCACTTCTGCCATATGAGTATACAGTGTTTGCATCTTGGAAGCAAAGACCAGGCACTCACCAGAAACTGAACTTGCCAGTGCCTTAATCTTAACATTATATCACATACTATTAATGACAATTAGCCAAATTTATTATCAAATAAATATTTTAATATTAAGTAGCAGTAGAATTATTTCCTTTTAACCTGAAATGTTGAATGTAGACTGATGTACTATACAAAATAATGTAACATCTGTCTTAGCCCTCATTAGATCATTCATTCTTTTTTTCTTTAATATATAGTCAGCATATTGAGTACCTACCATGTGTGAGGTTTTCTGGGAAATGTATAGCATTTTAAAAGATGATTTTCCACCCCACCTCCCCTGTCATCTAAGGAAAAAAGACTAGAATAAAATTCATCATGATATCTGCTATTCAATTGTCATCATATTCTAATAAAATTGGAATCAGTGTCAGATCCATAAGAGTTGTAGAGTAGGAGACATATTTGTATTGGCATTATTCCATTTTGTTTGTCCCCACATAGGCAGGTCCTCAGAAATCCCTTCCAATTATTCAAAATTCACTTTTAAACCCTTTCTTCATACCAAGTTGTTGAATCTGGGATGTCGTAACGTATCTCCCTTTCTAGAAACTTGGTGCCCAACTTGGATTTAAACACCTAAAATAGATAATACACCAGAAGAAGAGTTTGGAATATCAACTAGGAATGAATAAGGATTGTTTGTGATTGAAAAAGCCAAAAATATTTTCTGATATTCCTAAAGATGTTTTGCATTTGCTAACCCTGTTTGAAATACCAAGTTACGTCACCAAAATGCCTTTATTTATTTGAGAAAAAATACTGCTGGTTAACAGCAAGTAAAATAAGTTACTCAGGGATTGTGGATTAAGCTAACAGTCTGCAAACTATCACCTATAGACCAAGTCCTGCCTGCCACTTGATTTTGTAAAGCTTTATTGAAACACAGTAACACCAATTCATTCATATTTTTTTTCATCATTTTTGTACTACAATGACAGAGCTGAGTCATGACAGAGACATAGCTGGCAATGTCTAATAGATATTTACTATTTGGCCCTTCATAAAAAGTTTCCCAACTCCTGGTGTAAGCCATCAGTCAGATTTTTCCCAAAGACCCATATTCCATGATCTATGGACTCTCTTACAACCGCCTGATCTGAGGGATTACCTGGGGAACGTGACTAGAACCCAGGCACTAGGGAGGACAAAGTAACATTAATCTTGGTATCAATTGTGAATTGGGCTTGATACTAGCAGGAAGCTGACGATTAAACTTAACAAATTTTACTTAAGCCTTCCCAAGGACAAAATTCTTGAATAGTTTGGGCTCAAACAATGCTTTCATATAAAAAGATGGACTTGTATAATTGAAAGTACATTAAGTCACACAGAAATAAATTTAAATTCTGGCTTTGTCCCCTACTGGTTCCAAGATTGGGGTTCCTTCTCCTCCTGAGAGGTCAGACTAAGTCTCATAACCCTAATATCCAGCAGGCTCTTTGTTATAGGATTTTATATATCCACTTCCCTCAGAACATTTATCTCAGGTTGTTTTCATATACTAATAACTGTAATTATTTGATTGTCTCCAATACACTGTAACATTGATGATAATTGTTGTAATGTCCATTTCTTGCTCTCTAACATTATATTTGGGGCACAAAGTACATTCTCAATAAATATGTTGCCTGATATTTGTTGTCAATCTAACAACAAGTATTTTTTGCTGCCTACCACCCACAGTACTAAGTTGCATATTTCTATCTTCCTGAGAGCCTGGCAATGAGCCTTGCATTTATCAATAATTCAGTGACTGTTCTTTGGTAAATTGAAAGTCTAACTAAATTTGATCTAACAATAGCTGACTAGAGCCACCATTTCTGGCACTCACTTTATAGATAATGATGTCACCTTGTGGCTCAAAGAAACTTGGTGACAGCTGTTATTTCACATAAGTGATAATACTTTCATCTCCTATACTTTTAAAATAAAGGGCCAATGGAATGTTTAAACAGCATGAACAAAACTACCACCAGATGGCAATTCTTTCTTGTCACCCAGGAATCACTTCTGCTCTATTCCAACAGTGTTTTGCTTTTCTGAATGTGCTCTTTCCCGACATTGAGATTAGTCTGAGAATCAGAGTGGCAAACAGCACACTTACAGCAATTTCCATTATAATAAAGGTTAACAAAATAATACAACATAATACCACCAAGGGGATTAGGAAATATGATGCTTATAGCTGCAGTGAGAAAGAAAATGGAGAAAAATCTCATATTTATCAAAATAGGCCCATAGAATAGTAGTGCTCTAAGATGCTCCATGAATAAAAAGTGCTATGAGCAAATGAATCTGGGTAAAACTGCAAAGGATGGACCCATCTTGAAGACAGACAAAGTATGTTACCAGGTCTAAAGCTCCAACAAAGTCTGGCAAACATGAAAATATACTACAATTTGACTGAGAGTGGTAAGGATTTTTAGTGCTCACTCACATCTGAGTTTTCATACCTTTCCTGGGCAAATAGAAGATTCTCAGCCCTTGTCATTAGTCAGGACCTTATGACTTGCTCCAACTAATGAGATATGAGTGGGAGACTCATGGGCCACTTTCATGCTGAGGCAGAGGAAAGCTTCTGTGTGACCTCCCAGCCCTCTCATTTCCTATGGGGAGATCATGAACACCATGCTGATACAATGGTAGAACCACATCATGGAAGTGATGAGGATCACTAAATCACCACACGGAAACCAGTTGCTCTGGAAAGTCCTCCCACTACCATTGGACTTTGGATAAGCAACAAAGAAACTTTCTCCAAGTTAAGCCACTGAAATATGGAAAATAATTTGTTACTCCAGTATAATCTACCCCAATACAATGTTTCCTCAACTTATTGGCCACAGCTTTCTTTAGCCATTTCTTTTTTTTTTTTTTTGAGATGGAGTCTCGCACTGTTGCCCAGGCTGGAGTGCAGTGGCACGATCTCGGCTCACTGCAACCTCTGCCTCCAGGGTTCAAGCAATTCTCCTGCCTCAGCCTCCCGAGTAGCTGAGACTACAGGCACACGCCACCATGCCCGGCTAATTTTTTGTATTTTAGTAGAAACGGGGTTTCACCATGTTGCCCAGGCTGGTTGCGAACTCCTAAACTCAGGCAATCTGCCCATCTCAGCTGGGATTACAGGCATGAGCCACTGTGTCCAGCCTCTTTATCCTTATAAAAAATAAATATCACAGAAAAATTATTACAGGGAAACACTGCAGGAATCAATATACTATCTAAAATAGAGTTTTTCCAGGAACCATAACTGGAGCATTTTGAATTCTCGGCCACAGTGATTCATTAAACAAGCTAATATAGTCCAGCCTACAAAAAAGGTAGAGGAAGAATCCAGAAAGCTTACTCAAAAGGTCAAGAGAGGTACTAGAGGCCAGACAACTAGGTTGGAAATGCAAAAAACTGAATTTTATCTGTGTCTGCTTTCCCCACTAACTTTCACAATCTTGTAGGCCAAATGTTGTCTCTTCCTTCAACATTTCATAGGGCAAGCATTTATTGAGTGCATCTTGAGGACGTCATACAAGATAAGCCACATTTTCAATTTACACTCTATTTTCTTCCTCCCTGATCACCATCCCATTGGGGTATCTTCTCCATCAAAGCACACATTGCCTGTCTCAGTCTCTTGGCATTTACCTCAAGCTTCCCTGTGTCGATAGATATCCATTCACTTTTGTAGAAGAAAGGTCTGAAATGACTCAGCTTCCTATACCTTCCGATACTTACGCTGCCATCCTTGGAACTCCAGAATCTGCAGCCTTGGCCAGAGCTGACTAAATCATGATCACTGTGGAAATTAAAGGTAGCAACAGCAAACCACAGGAGAACTGCAGCCATCTGGTGACCTGTCCTAAGAGCCTTTCTGACAGGGATGCTCGACACTGGATTCCAATCAGAAATCCAACTAAACCTCTCTTGAGAAGCGTCAAAGTCAGAAAGCCAGACAAGTGATAGCAAGGGAAGAAGCAATTGCAGAGTAGAAGTTGAGACCAAATAAGAGGCATTAAGTATGGCAGAGCTTCGTGAAAACTCTAGCTTGTTAGACAGCCGAAGATGTATTGAGCCAATAAAGCTACTGTGCATCTTGAACAATGCTCCAGGTACCCATAGCTCCTTGCTAGCATTACTGAGATAATTCTCTGAACGTTCTCACACTTCCTCTTAGGTAACCTGAGCCCATCTCAACACTTTGGCACCTGAAGGAGCTCAGCCATTACTCATCAAACTCACATTCTAAGTTACTTGAGAGAAGTGACTAGTGCTAATCATTTTATTAAGCCACCCATAGTGCTAAATCATAAAGGCTTGCACAATAGTAGATGCACAAGTAATTAGTGCCAGTAATGTTTACTGACATACCTACTCAATCTCAGGTGCAGGCAGCATTTAATGAGACAGAAAAGTTCCTGAACTCTCAGAGCCCATACTCTAATTCTAATTCTCACTCCAATACTTGACTGGTTGGTTGAGGAGAATATTAAGCACAGTTCATGGCAACATGGGGGAACAATTTTCATGTGGAAGACAAGGTATAAAGCCCCCAAAGAATCATTTGTACCACCTGGATTCAAAATTTTCCTTCTTTAATAACCACCATTTATCAAGCTCCTACTATGTGCCAGGCACCCTGTTGGGTGCCTACACATGTGCCCTAATTTAATCCTCCTAAGAGTCCCAAGACAGGGATGTCATCATTCATATTTCAAAGGTGAAGAAAAGGAAGTTCAGAGAGTTTCAATGATTGACCAAAGAATCACTGTGTGGGTCATGGAGTTATAATGCAAATTCTGTTTTTGCTAGCTCTTTCTAATTCTAAGTTTGTGCTCTCCCCACTGTGCTACACTTAAGAGAAAAATGATGAGCTTTTTAGCTGGGAAACAAAGAAGTGACAGCTGGGTGGAAAAGCACCTTGTACCGTATTTTCACTCTGTGCGATTCATAGTAATCTGACAGCAGAAGATTATTTTCCAGGGTGAGTTTCTCATATAACAATGAAAGAAAAGTATTATTATCAGGTTCTACTCCTATCTTTTTATTGTGGCATAAGAAAAAGGAAAAGGAGAAAAGAAAAAAGAAAAGGCAAAATGACAATGAATATTGTATTTAAAACAATTAAAAATATTTAATAGAAAGTAACTTGCCTCACATATTCCTTTCTATAAAAACAGGTACAAATATTTGCCACAAAAATATTCCCTACATACCATCACTAAAACCAATTTATATCCATTATTGGGAAAGTAGAACAAATCTATGTCAACTCGTTTCTTCTATAATTGAAGTTATAAAATGTGTTATGTTTTCATGCTCTGATAATGTTGCAAAAATTAAGCATTGCAAAATGCTGAAATAATTTCTTCAAAAAAGAAACTACATGTTATTCTATTTTAGAAGTCACATTTGAACATTTATAATAATTCCATAGCATGATATTTAAATGTTTTAAGAATAACAATTAATAATCAGGACTTAATTTCACATTTCTACTGTTTTAAAGGTGAGCTCGTTTCAGTACTTAAAGTCTGTGAGGTATTTTTAGAAGCTTATGAAATCACAATATAACAACAAACATAAAATATTACCAAAATGTATTTGGCAATAAAATTCAGTAAGTATTCAGCAATAAAAAGGAGTGAAGATTTGATAGATGGAGGACCTTGGAAACATTATGCTAAGAGAAATAAGCCAGACACAAAAGTCATGTATTGTATGATACTATTTATATGAAATGTTCAAAATAGGCAAATCTGTAGAGACAGAAAGTAGATTTGTGGTTTTGAGAAGATGGGGGCATGAGTAGGGGAAAATGAAAGTGACAGATACTGGGTTTCTTTTGGGGGTGATGAAAATATTGTAATTGATAAAGATGATGGTTGTACAACTCTGAATATACTAAAAACCGATGAATTATACACTTTAAATGGATGAACTGTATAGCATGTGAATTACATCTGAATAAAGATATTATGTTAAAAAGATCATTTACCACCAGGGCCAAATAGCAGCTGCTCCTCGAATCACTCTTCTCATGCTTTCTGCTTCTCACCCTCATGCTCCTTCCTCTGGCTCCTGAGATATGCCAGGCTCCGGCTCACACCAGACCTCTGCTCTTCCCACTGTACACCCTCCCACCGTTTCCGCTACCTCCAACCCACCACAGGTTGCCGAGGCCCAAGTTAACTTCTGCTCTTCTTGAACATCACATTGCAGCTTTCATGTGACTTTCCTGACTCTCCAGTATCATCCTTGCAGAGTACTCACAATCACCCTATACACCTGCATGTTTATTTAGGCCTTTATTATTTTATTTTATGAGACAGGCTCTAACTCTGTTGCTCAGGCAGAACTGCAGTGCTGTGATCACAGCTCACTGCAGCCTCAACCTCTTGGGCTCAAGCGATCCTCCCACCTTAACTTCCCAAGTAGATGAGACTACAGGTTCACACCACCATGCTTGGCTAATAGTCACCATGCTTGGCTAATTAAGGTGTTTCTACTCTTATCTTGTTCCTCCAGCTGGAAGCACAGCACCTGTCATACAATACATGCTCAATACATATTTGAAAAATAAATGATTTATTTAAACTTTTTTAAAAAATTATGAAAAGCCCCTACACAACTCCTTTTCTCCCTGTTTTTTTCTCTATCAAAGAAATATGGTGAGAATGTATTAAAAACTTGCACATAACTGTTAATTCAGGGGCATATTAGTGGAACCATTGGTATTAAACATAAAACTGATTTTTTCCCCAGTGATTTCTTCCAGAAGATAAATGTCCTCAAGCAAAATAACCAACAGAATTGCAAAGACAATTTGTGGATGAAGAAAGAAAAGCCTTTTTAAAAATATGAACAATGATTGTTTTGTTTTCTGTGCAAGTTTTGTTCTGTTCCAGACATAATCACTCAATAAATATCTCCAGAAGGCCAGCCGAGTGCAAGAGGTCACAGCAGTTAGGAGGAAGTTCAAATGCAGCCTCATAAACTGCACATCAACTGTGAAATGAAAATAATCCAAAGTCCAAGGGGTTGTTATGAGAACTAAATGAGAAACACTTGTAAGACAGTTAGCATAGAGCCTGACCAATACACACTAGCGATGATGATGGTAATAATAATTCGTTCTACCTTCAAGAAGCTCACAGGTCTTTGGAGCAGAGGGTGGTGGTGTAAAGACACCATTATAAATACCTATAATTCAAGATTGAAAATATCCTCATTGCTAGTAATTAATCCTACTGATAACCCTTGCCAAAGTTCTCCAATATAAATGTGTAAGAGTGTTTTCTATTACAAACAGCATTGTTTTAACAGATTAAAAAAAAACTAGGGACAACTAAAATATTTAGTTGATGAATTAAATTATAGTGTGCGCCCATATGATGTGATAAAATGTGGCTGTTAAAAATATGAAGCAGGCTATTCAAAAACCAAGTGACAGTATAGCCCTATTCTCAGCCCCTTCAAATTTTCTCTAAGGTTTTTGGCTTTATCTTGAATTACAGAGAAAGAAGGAAGGACATTCTTTGTTTACTCTTCTAAATTATTCAATAAAAACATTTAAATACAAAAATGAAGAGGAGATATATGTTCTCAGTTGATATCTCAAGATCTTTCAGACATATCATTAAGTGGAAAGAGTGAAGAATAAAATAACATGTGCAACATAAGCTCTGTTGTGTATATGAAAATATATAAAAGTAAGTACATGTAGTTGATCACATCTAGGTGGAAGGATCAGGAAATGTTTTACAGTCGATCTGGGCAAGTGACATGGAAAATCTGAGAAGGGAATTCGAGGCAGAGGAAGCAAGGGCTTGGAGGCAGAATAACGTGTGGACATGCCCAGGGTGAGGTAAGAGTTTGCAGCTGCCAGAAGAAAGTTTAGAGAAGGTGCATAAGTAGCAGGAGCTGAGATTGGAGACATGAGTTAGGCCACAGCACAGGGCTTTAAATGCTAACTCTAGGCATCTGGATTTTATCTCATAGGCCTTGAAAAGTTGCCGAAGATTAGTGAAGAAAGAAATAATACGATCACTACCGCACATTATGGATGGTCATGAGAAAGGGCTTCTTGCAAAGAGTGGAGGGAGCAAAGAATGATGTCATGCTGGATGGATGCTACCACAAGTTCTCCAGTTCTTCCCTCTGAATTTACGGCACTGTGTTGATATAGCTTTAGCTGTCCTCTCTGATATAATGTGTATGCTGCTTTCATATGAAATAAGTCACATGAATGGAGTCAGTGATTCCTTTCCAAAATTCCTGACAGATGTTCCACACACCCCAAAATTACTGATCTTTATTCAATAATCAAATTCTCAGCAGATAACCATTTTTCAAAGAAATGTTATTTTGCCTGCTAAATGAAAGGAAGGGAGATCATTAACAGTTCTCTAAGAAATGCATTTTAAATGAAAGGCTTTTTTTTTCAGCCTTTGGAAAGAAGAATATCAAAAGTTAAACTGAAACATCCAGGGAAAACTCAAATTAATATGTTAATTCTGTCAACGTTCAAGGTTCTGAGTCCAAGCCTAGAAGTAGCGTAGCATATGGTGATTTACTGCTCCCTAGCTATCATTTTAACTACAGTTTTTGAAATCACAAAATAAATGTTTCAAGTGAAGTTTTCATCACTCTTTCAATGTGAAATATGTGAGTATTAGAATTTCTATGTTTTGTTTTAAAGATCAGTTTATTATACTAGAAGCCATCAGTGATTTTCATTAAATATGTCAAATTAGATTGAGCTAGGGAAACAGATGATAGATTAATATATAGTTAATTTTGTCTTTACAATGACAAATTTAACGTCTCTCTATGGACATTATGAATTTCCCTGACTGACAGATTTTTTCCTATTAAAAAGACAATGAATCTCTTGAATTATAGGTAAATAAAATTACATGGTTAAAATTTGATGAAAATCCGGGAAAAATTATGCAGTGTCAACTGCTAAGATTTAAGTTTCCTATTTATTTGTTACTATTTGAGAAATTGCCCTCAATGCTTTGGTGAAGAAAAAAAGTGCCTGTGTATGAATGCTGAAGTAGGTCCATAAAAAAGGAAATTTGCTATGAAAGACAAAATTACGCACATTTTAGCCTTCCAGAAGTTAAAAAGTTTTAGGAGGTGTTTGTTTCTGATAACCTAGCTCAGTGCTCAACACTTATTAGGTAAATGGGAGATATTTATCAACTGGATAGATAGAGGGATGATGCAGAGATGGATAAATGATGGCTGGATG
Source organism: Homo sapiens (assembly GCF_000001405.40). NCBI lineage: Eukaryota > Metazoa > Chordata > Mammalia > Primates > Hominidae > Homo > Homo sapiens. Next base: position 156,018,585 of record NC_000005.10, on the reverse strand, counting down.
AAGGAGTACCATTTTATTCTATGGTCTTAATCCCCTATTAAAAACAATTTACCAATACACGTGTACATAAGTCTGCAATATAAAAGTGTGGCATGTATCTTCATAAAAATAAATATCCAATATCTCTGTTAACCCCATATATTTGTGTATGTTTGTTAATCATATCTATCTCTGTTTCTAAACACATGCTGTACTTTTTAAAATATATACATGTTCATAGTGGGACATAATATGGGATAGTGTAGTTATAAAACTTAATTTTAACAGACACTAGCGGATATTTGTATCCTTAATGATGGAGTACTAAAGACACTCCCATTAAAGTTAGAAAAAAAATGAGAATTTTCCACTATCACAAATAGGATCTTAACATTTATTTATTAATTTATTTATCTATTTATCTAGTCATTCATTGATTCATTCATTTACTAAGACAGGGTCTCACCGTGTTGCTCAGGATTGCAGTGGTGCAATTATGGTTCACTGCAGCCTTGACCTCCTAGGCTCAAGCAATCCTCCCACCTCAGCCTCCTGAGTAGCTAGAACCACAGGTGCTCACCACCATGCCCAGATAATTATTTTATTTTTTGTAGAGATGGAGTCTCCCTACGGTGCCCAGGCTGGTCTTCAACTCCTGGGCTCAAGCAATCCTCCAGTCTCGGCCTCCCAAAGTGCTGGGATTACAGGAGTGAGCCACTGCATCTGACTTTAACATTAATTTAAATGTCAATATGAATGTCAAAAGAGGAGATGATGGTTCTTTTTTAAATGTAATACAATAAAAGCCATATAATTATATAATTGCTAATGCAATAAGTGAAGAAAATATATAAAAACTATAAAATAAGACAATATGATTCATTCTTAGAAAAACATTTCCATTTTTGAAATGTTACTGAACTAGAGACTATTTCAGAGTAATATAGTAAATGTTTCTCAATAATTACATAAAATCATTGAATTTCTTACATATCAGAAATAACTAATAAGAAAAGTTAATGGATAAAGTCTTCTAACTATAATAATTAAAATGATAAAATGTTTAGCAATCTCCTTAAAAGAAATACATAGAAATATTGTAGGAAAAATTAGAAAACTTGAATAAATGTAAAAAAAATGAAACTATACAAGCTAGAGGAAAACATGAATGAATTCCTCTATAACCTAGGTAAACATAAAAGTTTTTATCTATGATTTACAATTCAGTTGCAATTTTAAAAAATTGATGCATTTGCCTACATAAAAATAATAAATAAAAAAAACTTTTGCATGGGGAAAACACTATATAAACAAAGCTGGAACACAAATGAAAAATAAGAAGAAGATATTTGCAGCGTCATCTCAAATATATAAGCAACATTTTTGTATTGAGGGAAACAATACAGAAAAGCAGGCAAGACACTTTACAAAGATATTTTTAGATGGTTTTTAAACATATAAAAAGATGTTCAATTTCACTTACATTAAGAGAAATGCAAATTTCCCAACCATTAGTTGGCCACATTCAAAAGCATAATGATTTACTTTATTGGTGAGGCTATTGAAAAATAGGCACCCTCGTATGTTGCTGGTGGGAACTCAAAGGTAAAACCCCAACAGAAGAGAATATGCACATGAGTAACAAACTCCGTATGCTTCCTTGTTTGATCCAGCAATCACATATCAAGGAATATACACAAATGTATACCTCCAACACAAACATACAAAAATGTATATGCACAAGGTCATTTATTGCAACATCATAGACAATTGCAAAGTATTGACAATTCTCTTAAATGCCCAAACAGAGGTGATTAGTTGAACAAGCTATGGTACATACACAAATGAGGAACCCAGCAACTACAAAGAAGAATAAGGAAGATCTCCATGAAGTGCATGGAGAGTGAGTTCCAAGTTACATTTAAGTAAACACGGCAAATTACAAGACAGTACATACAACATGCTATCTTTGTGTAAGAAACAAGAGAAAGTAAGAAAACATATGTGTATCTGCTAGTTTTTGTAAAAAAAGAAATACAGAAAGAGTAAATCAGAAACCAACAAAATTTGTTATCTATAAAGGGGTGGAGCAGGGCTACAGGTTGGAAAAGATAAGGGATGGGACAACCTTTCAATACTTTTTTGGTATAATTTTGACTTTTGGAATCTTGTTAATATTCTATGTATGCCAAAACAATTAAATTATTTAAATTAAATCAGCAAGAATGGGAACAAAATGTAAAACTAAATGCAAACAGAAACAAACCTAACTGCATTTAAAATGACTAACAACACTGAAGGGAGCGAAACAAACCCACTTTTAAACACAATACTTTGAATATCTTCAGTCTAGTGGAAAAAAAATTGAAATGAAATCTTGAACTTTTTAAAAGAAGGCTTGTTTTGCTTTTGTTTTCTTGCTTTGTTTTGTTTTTACCGAGGTATTGTTCTGAGCCTATTACATGTGTATTGCAGAATTGAGCAAATGAGTAAATGTGCTGATGTTGGGATCAGGGTTCTCACTGTGAAAGAAGGGAGATTGAAATTGTGAAATTTGAAAGAATCATAAGTTTTCTGTTTTGTTTTAAAGGTCAGGTTATTGTATTTTAAGACATCAGTGATTTATGAGGTAAGTAAGAAATCATTGGAACTGCATCAGTTTTGAAATGAATGAATGATATATGGATGATATATATATATATATAAAATATATGTGGATGATAGACATATAATTACATATATTATATATATAATTTCATTCATTCATTCCAAAACCAATGCAGTGCACTGTGTGTGTGTGTGTGTGTGTTTGTGTGTTCATTGGGACTGCATTGGTTTTGGAAAGAATGAATGATATATGAATATCATACATCATATATACATATTATACACGTCATTCATATATCATTCATTCGTTACAAAAGTGGTAAGGATATATATAAAAGCATATAAATAAAAGGGTATACATATACATATACATATATATACACACACACACATGCATACATATATATGTATATATGCACCCTTTTTCTGTCTGGTAAACAGGCTTACAAGAAAAAACACCCCAGTAATAATGAGCCACCTAATACTTAGCTAGTAAATACTATTCCCCAGTAAATAGAACCAGGGCTTCTTGAAGTATAAATATATACATATATATGCTTCTGGAGCTGGAACATCTCGTGCCAGAAAGCAAGGGAATAAATGCTCAAAAGATAATGAAGATGTATAAAAAGGACAGAAGAATCACCTTCAAGGGGCTCCTACTGGCCAAGTGTGGAATAAATTTAGCAGCAAAATAATTCAGATCACTAAGGTATTTTAACCTATTGAATAAAAAAGAATCCATGGATCCATACTGAATATAAATGGATATATTAATAAGAAAGAAGAAAGGGAGGCCTTTTCCTTACTTTAGAGAACCTAATGAATGTGGAAGGTACAGAGGAGTTAGAAAAACACCATTTTGCAACCAAGTGAAGGTAGATTCAGGCTAGATAATGTTCTCGAAGTATCTCCTCACACACTGCTTCTTAGCTGCAGGGTGGAAAGTACTAAACATTCACTGGAGAAAAATGGCCAAGCCCCTGACTAGTGTCACAATTAGCAATATCTACGAAGGGGAGATGGTCACGACATGCCTTCAGATGTGATGCCAGGAAAGAACATAGCATCGCTTACATGGTATTCTGACTGGAAATGCATAACCTGAACTTCCCTACGAGGAAGCATTTTCAAACCCAAAGTGCAAAACGCTATAGAAAGTAACCACCCTGTATTAGTCAAAAACGTCATAGCATGAAAGATAAAGAAAGGTTGAGGGCTGTTCTAAACTAAGACACTAAAATAAAAAACAGGAAAAATAAACTGCTCTTGGACAAGATCCTGTACACAAGGAAAAAATGTGACAAAGAACATTACTGGGACAATATTGAGCAAACTGGAAGAAAAGTAGAATATGGACTGTAGATTACATAAAAATACATGAAAATCCACTACGACGTTTCCTGAGGTTGATAAATTTACTAAGATTGTATAAGAGAATAGCTTTATTCTTAGCATGTAAACATTGAAACATTAAGGGAAGTGGTATATACAAACTACTTACAAATGAAAAAATATTAAAAATTAATCTGGTAATTTTCTCCCATAAAAAATAAATAATAATATATACACATGGATGATAAAGCAAATATGGCAAATGTTTAATAAGGTTAATCTGGGTAAAGGGTATGCAGGAGTTGTTTGTGCTATTCTGGTAAATTTTCTGCAGGTTTAAAATTATTTCAAAATAAAAGTTTAAAAAGGAGAGGGGTCTACATTTAATTGGAAGAAATAAACAGTAAGTGATTGCCAAGGAAACTGAATGAGCAAAGTACCAAGGAAAGTCATGCTCTACCAGATATTGAATCTCATTATAAAGATTTAAAATATTAGAATGTTGTACTACTCCAAGGATTGATGAACAGACCAAAGAAAGACAACTAAAAGCCCAAAAAGAGATTCTATAATTATGTATGTTAAAGCTAGAATTTTCATCCCTTAGCAAAAGATTGATCCAGCAAAATGCTAGAAGGATTTTCTAACTTTTTGAGAAAAAAAAAAGTAAGCTGCATCCCTATCTCGTAAATAACCAAAACATATCTCGGAGACAAAAAGCATGAACAAATAAACACACGTACACACAAAGACACAAAGTGGAAGGAAAATACAAAAGAATAAATACCTAAATTAAGAATTAGGAGTGTCTCTTAAAAAATAAAAACAAATGATAAAACTATTATTCTGACATAGACATTAAAAATGGCTATATGTAAAAAATACCATAAATAAAATTAAGGACACATTAGAAAAAATATTCATATCAGTTATGGAAGATAAAACGTTAACCTTAACATTTAAAAGAGCAAACACTCTCAATATAAAAATAGGCAAAAGACATGAAGAATCAATTTATAAAGAAGAAATAATAATGGTCTACGAATTCCTGAAGACATGTTCAAACACTACAGTAATCAAAGAAAAAAGCTTAAATACAATATAATTTTCCATTATTAAACTGACAATATTTTAAAATAAAAACTGATAGTGTCCCTGTTCAGAAGGGCACAGGGAAATATGCATTCTAAAAACACCAAGGCAAGGATAAGCCAGCACAAACGCTCTTGTGTAAAATTTAACAAGATGTATTAAGAGCTTCAAAATTTTCTACTCACTTTAATTTTAAGTTCTACTTTCATCAAACCTGAAGGAAGAAAGCAACACTTCAAAAACACCTAGGCCAGGAGCAGTAGCTCATGCCTGTAATCCCAGCACTTTGGGAGGCTGAGGTCGGCAGATCACTTGAGGTCAGGAGTTCGAGACCAGCCTGGCCAACATGGTGAAACTCCATCTCTACTAAAAATACAAAAATTAGCCGGGTGTGGTGGCGTGTGCCCATAGTCCCAGCCACTAGGAGGCTGAGGCAGGAGAATCGCCTGAACTCGGGAGACAGAGGTTGCAGTGAGCCGAGATGGTGCCACTGCACTCCAGCCTTGGCGACAGAGCGAGACTCCATCACAAAAGAAAAAAAAAAAAAACACCTAAATGTCCAGCTATATGGAAATGAAAAGACACTACTTGTATACATATTATATATATAAATAATAAATATATATATAAATGGAATGCTATAAATCATTAAAAAGAAGCTTTCGTGGGCTGGGCGCGGTGGCTCACGCCTGTAATCCCAGCACTTTTCGAGGCAGGCAGATCACGAGGTCAGGAAATCGAGACCATCCTGGCTAACATGGTGAAACCCCGTTTCTACTAAAAGTACAAAATATTAGCCAGGCATGGTGGCAGGTACCTGTAGTCCCATTTACTTGGGAGGCTGAGGTGGGAGAATGGCGTGAACCCAGGAGGCGGAGCTTGCAGTGAGCCAAGATCCCACCACTGCACTCCAGCTTGGGCCACAGAGCGAGACTCCCTCTCAAAAAAAAAAAAAAAATTATCTCTGTGCATATATTAAACAATCTTAGTAAAGAGATAACTCTAGAGATAAAGACATAGATATGTCTGAATACATTTATATCCTGAAGGATATATAAGGATAATCACTAAAATGTCATCACTGACTTCACTGAATGGTGGGATTTGAATCATTTACATTTCCACCTCTATACAATTTTGAATCTTTCAAATTATTCTAAAATGACAATTATCATAACATATGAAAAAATTCTAAGATAAATTTTCAAACATAGCCTTTAAAATGACATGTGTGGTATTGATTGCTACTCTGTAATAATACGTAAGCATGTAAGATAGGATATGGAGTCAAATATGAAAACATTTAAGTGGCATTTTTGATAGCGTGGTGAGAATTTCTTTCGTAATTATCTGCAATTTTGCTGCTATGCTGTCTGATTTAAAAAATAATGATTATCTGCTAAAGTATATATGACATTTAGAGATCCATTGTCATAGGTGCAAATAAAAATTAGAAATGAATATATAAGCATATGCATTGAAGATACACCGTTTTTATAACATATACAGGCAATAGTGACATATCTCTCCTCCCTTAAATTCCTAATGTAGTACTTAACCTCTAGTAAGGTTTTAGATATATTTTAGAGGGTTTATGTTTTCATATCCACAAACAGAATGGAACTTGCTTGGGGGTAGATCTAGTCTATTACAAATGAGGGTAGTATTTTCAAAGTTATGAATGTGCTTTTGTCTTGTGCCTTTCTGTGTGCTTGACTTTTATCCTAGTCTGCCCAAAGCATCCATCTGCCTGGTGAGAGATCTGGATTTACAGAAAAAGTGCAGAGAAGAATCCAGGTATTATTCAAAGTTTTATGTTTAAAAATAGAATTCTGGGCCAGGCACCGAGGCGCACGCCTGTAATCCCAGCACATTCAGAGGCCGAGGTAGGTGGATCACGAGGTCAGGAGTTCCAGACCACCCTGGCCAAGATGGTGAAACCCTGTCTTTACTAAAAATACAAAAAATTGGCCGGCACAGTGGTGGGCACCTGTAGTCCCAGATACTCGGGAGGCTAAGGCAGAGGACTTCTTGAACCCGCGGGGCAGGAGTTGCAGTGAGCCAAGATCACGACACTGCCCTCCAGCCTGGGCAACAGACCGAGACTCATCTAAAAAAAAAAACAATAGAATTCTGCAGATTATTTCTCATGTAGTATATCAAATACCAAGTCTAGAAAACCCAACCTGTATATATCTCTCATGTTATAACCAGAGTTCAGTAAACTTAAGTTCCATATAGTAAGATCCCACTATATGCATACTGTAGTACCTTCCTATAATTAAAAAAATTCTAAGTTCTGAAAGACACCTGGCTTGAAGGATTTTGAAAAAGATATTGAAGATTGCAAACCTGTACTATTTAATAACACAGAGCCATTATAAGGATTTAATATGTAAAGTATCTAGTTCAGTATCTAGAATAGAGTAGATGTCCAAAATATACTCATTTCCTTGTCTCTACCTCTTATCCCTATATTTCCGTATGTGTCTTTTTAAAAGCCACAATGGTAAACATGCATAAAAATGCATGTTTTTAATTATCAAAACTTTTAATGTCTTTCACTAAGATATTCAAAGTAATCATGACTCAGTTTGGCAAAGAAACAAAACAGAGCATAATGAAGTTATGTGAATGAGCTATAAACATGAAACAAGCCATAACAATATATATCAGTAATTATTTTCTGGAAAAGGCAGTAATGAGTAGTAGGTAAAAGTGTGAGCTTTGGTATCAGATAGATCTGGATTCAAGTCCTGGCTCTGCTTCTAACCTTCTACATGGCAGCTAGTAAGTTGCTTGGATAAGTAAGTTAATTTCACCAAACTTCAGTTTTCTAAACTATAAAACAGATATTAGAAGTGCACCTCCATTCCAAGTTTGTGCCAAAGATTAAATGAGATAATATATGTAGAGCACTTAGCATGATGTTTGTCGAATTACTATGTGGTAATAGTAATAATTGAATAACAGAAGCTGTTGTTATTACAGATTAAAGTTACAGTCGACTAGATACTGTAATTACCTAGAAACCATAATTCATTAGATGTCAACTATCTGAAAAACTATTGCAGTCCTGCATTTGATTGTGCATTGAGTAACAATGTATTTATAAAGTTAATGTATGTATTAATTGGATTTTAACACTAACAAACAGGTTGTAAGATCTGCTCAACATGTTTTGACATGTTAACAACTATCGGACATATTCCCACACTAAATTATAATTTTGTAAATATTTAATCTGTCAAAACCCACAAAATAATTACTGTATTACATTCCCAACAGTAATATCCTAACCCAAAGATTAAGATGTTATTTAATCAACAGAGATTTTAATTGCTATTATGTATAGAATCTCTATAATAGGCCGAAAGTTATGATAAGTACCACTTTTTCACTCCATCTAAACTTGGGAAAAATTAAGAAACCAATGACACACATTTGATTTCACAAATTAACACATTTTAATTAAATCTCTTAGAGTCTATAATAATATATGTGGGTCTAATTAAGTAACTCATCAAGCTTGTAAGCAGACCAAAGAGTAAAATATTTGAACTTGAGCAAAGCAAGATCATTAAAGAGAAAAATTTGCCAAAACGTGTTTGAGTCTACAAAGAAAACTGGCCTTTTGGTCCATGTTGATGCTTAGCTTTTTATTTTTTAAAAATGTCTATTTAGAGAAGCCTGAGGATGCGCATTTCAAAGGTAGTGGATTATCAATATAGACAGTTGTTAGCCTATGACTAGACAGCAATTCAGAAGTTCAGTGGCGTCAGAGTGAGCCATAACTCAGAGGACAGATTAGACTAATTCAAGTGAGTAATAAAAGCCTGCCAAGGAGAAGCTGGCAATTCTTTAAAATCTATGTAAAAGCTAAGAGTCCACAGAAGCAAGTGAATTGTTGGCGGTCCCTGGGCCAGCCATAACCTGATTGTTTCTTTATTCAAATATGTTTTATGTATCAAATGTGTGCTGAACGTTGTATTAGCAATCAAAATCCAGGACATCTGGCAGCAGGGAATATGTGGACCGAGCCTTGGGAGCATGATCCAAAGAACGAAGATTAATGTCCCCAACAATCTGAAATAGCAGGCTAAAAACTAAACTCACAGTCATGAGAAGTACCAACCAGTAGTAAGAAAACCCACTGAGCCACTTGGCCAAGATCTTGACCAGGTGTAGGTATGTATATGGTAGAGGCCAATAGAAATTGGCACCTCCAACTGTGGGGATTGGAGAATTAAGGGGCGGGGACACGGGCAAGTAAGTACAATTTGTAAACCTGGTTCTTTGGAACCCAAAGGGTCATTTTACCTGAGAAAAAATCCATAAACATATCCCATCATAAATCTTATGTAAAAATCTAAAGTGATGTTGTTAAGGGACATCACTGTGTCAATAAATGTTTTACAGAGAGGAAAGTACCAAAGGACATAGCTGTCACCACCTGCTGAAGTAACCTGGCAGTGGGACTGGAGACACCCCCTCCTTCGCTCCAGTCACTCTGGCCAAAGATCAAATAACCATGAGAATTTCAGGCTGGTCTCACACCTGCCCCCATTCCAACTTTCTTATTAACTTCAGATACCTCCAAACATAGTCAAGGTATGATTTCCAAAGCATTAAAATATGACTCTTGTATAAATATAGACTGAACATGTGCTGAAGATTTTATTTAATTCATTAATGAGAAAGCAAATAAGATGGTTGCTATGAGTTGAATTGTGCCTCCTGCAAAAGATACATTGAGGTCCTAATTTCCAGTACCTCAGAATGTGAACTTACTTGGATATAGGGTTTCTGTAGATGTAATTAATTACAATAAAGTCATATTGGAGTAGGATGGGCCCTTAATCCAATACAACTGGTGTCCTTATAAGAAGACAATGTAGGCTGGGCACCATGGTTCATGCCTGTAAACCTAATGCTTTGAGAGGCTGAGGCCGGAGAACTGCTTGGGGCCAGGAATTTGAGACCAGCCTGGGCAACGCAGCAAGACCTAATCTCTACAAAGAATTAAAAAATTAGCCAGGCATGGTGGTCCATGCCTATAGTCCTAGGAACTCAATAGGCTAAGGAGGCAGGATCACTTGGGCTCAGGAGTTTGAGGCTGCAGTGAGCCATGATCGTGCTACTGCACTCCAGCCTGAAGAGCAGAGCCAGAACCTGTCTCAAAAAAATAAAAAGAAAGGAAAGAAGAGGAAGAAAGAAAGAAGACAATGGGAATGGGGAGTGTGCAGATCGGAGCATATCAGCTGTAAGTCAAGGAACTTCAAGGATTGCTGGAAGCCACCAGAAGCTAGAAAGAGGAAAGTAAGGGCTCCCCTACATGTTTCAGGAGCAGCATAACCCTGCCAACATCTTGATTTTGGACTGTGAGAATTGTAATTTTGGACTCCAGATCTATGAGACAATAAATTTCCATTGTTTTAAGCTACTCAATTTGGCATTTTTTTATAGCAGCCATAGGACACTAGCACAACGGGTAAAGTTGACTCAAAGAACATCTGAGAACGTGAATATTTATCATCACTATGGAGAAAAAAAAGAATCTTGGAATAACATCGTTGGAGATAAAAACCTGACTTACGTCCTATAGGGCAGTAAAATCATTACATCGTGGGAGAGAAACTATTTCTCCTGGACAAATGTCTGCAAATTAACATGCAACTTCCCAAAGCCTGGCCTTTAAATAATGTTTCAATGTGACATTAAAAGAATGTATTCTCTCCCTCTTCCAGCCCGTTTGCCTTATTCCCAACATCTGGATAGCTTTTTGTTTGTTTGTTTGTTTTTGTTTTATAACAAGTCGCTTACATGTCTGCCCCACTTAGACTTTGGGTTTACTAGCATGCTAGCTCTGCCATCCCCCACCTACTGGCTTAGTGTTTGCAGATAAAGTTTATCATTCTGTCTACTACCCCCAGAGCCCTACTCTGGTCCCAGTTCTGATAATGATTGAGCTCCTCCCCTTTTAATATGGATAGATGTTTAAGAATTCTATTCCACTACTCAGCCAGACTGGAGGCTTAGTAAAATGCAACACTTTTCAGTGGAAAACAAATAACAAGGCTCTGTGACAGTTTCTGGAAGGAAATTCAGACAATTTTAATGTGAAAACTTAGCTGCTTTGTTTTTCTTTCATGCACTAGAAAGATGAAATGTTTTTCTTCATCTCTCAGGAGAGTTTGAAGATTAAACTCAAACTGCCTTCCGAGAAAGGAGACAGAGATCTTACCTTGTTAAAGATTTGGATTCAGGGTTTACTGGGCCATCAGAAGAAAGCAGGGGAATGGAGTTATCCTCAATACATTTATCACCCAGTGTGGTGAGGGTGCTTACCAAGCAGAGTGGAAGCTGGTGCTGCAGAACTGAAGCAAGTGTCTGGGGGGCTCCTGCCAGCCAGGGGTCAACCCTTTACCGAAGGATTAGGGGTGAGTCTAGAGGATCCTGCGGAATAGACCAGGGAAGTAGCAGGGGTACTTAAAGTGAGCTTCTTAGAATAGAGGCTACTGATGAACACTATGAAACGATTTCAAGGTGTGCAGTTGAACCAGCATATATCTGCTAAGTATTCGTCATGTAAAAGATAAAAATTGAGCAGAAACAGAAAAGAAAATGATTTGGTGAAACAAAGAAGGGAGAAGGAAGGACTTCTTTGGGTTCCTCTAAAACAGCCAAGAATCCAAAAAAGGGGGATTGGGAATGGGTATGTGTAGAAACTCTCCCCTCAACACATGTATTTTGAGTGATTAGACTGCTCACATTTGAGAACCCTTTAACTGGGGAAGTATTTAATGACAACCCTATACAATAGATTAACATTTTAGAGCTTAGAATAAAATAGAATCCACCCATTTATCTCTTTTTTGCCCCAACCAGTTATTGTAGCCTAAATTGAGGGGTATAAATCTGGGAATGCGTTTTTATATTTTATCTAGGGGTGGCAGATGTTAGGGAGAAGGATTTTTTCCTTTCTCATGTTGAGTGAACAAAACAAAATATTTTCCGGCTCTCAGCTATGGGAAATGATTAGATACATGGCATGGCTCAGTAACGTGTTGCAGTTTCATTTCCTGGGAGGAAGAGAGGTTTAAATCCACCAGACAACGCATTTGTAACAAGCTTACAAGTGCTTGGGAGAATGCAATAGCTATCGCCCTGTTTGAACCAGTTAGTGAATAAAAAAAGGCTTTTGACTTCAAATGAAAAAAAATAATCAAAGAGATTTGTCATTTTGACTTTGGTACTGAATTCAAAATCAATGCCAAGCTAGAAAGTGCCATAATGCATATAAATGCTGTCAGTGACCTTATTTAGAAAATAGGGTGAAATATTAGCAGTCACTGAATGAATCTGGGTCCTACATGTGATCAAAATGGTTCCTTCTTTCCAACAGTATCATATAATGATAATAATAACAACAGCAGCTCACAATGATTGAATGTTTACTCCGTACTAGAGGTAGGGCTAATGCCTACAAACTGCATATTCTCATATGATCTTCACAACACTCACCTGAGGTATGTATCATTCTCACTCTGGTTTTACAGAAGAGAGAAATGTAGATCTGAGAGATTATGTAATTTGCCACAAAAAAGGGGGAAACTGAAATTCAAACCCAGGCCACCCATCTGGCACTAAAGTCTATGCCCTTAAAACACTGCTTGTGCCATCGGATCACTGAATAGCCCAGAAAATATCAGAGGGTTGCCACCTACAGAAGCTTGTGGGACTGTGAACGCAAGAGACTGAGTGAGCATGAAAAGGCTGCCCGCATGGTTAAAAACAACGCTTGACATTAAAACAAAACAAAAGGCCGGGCACGGTGGCTCACGCCTGTAATCCTAGCACTTTGGGAGGCCAAGGCGGGCGGATCATGAGGTCAGGAGACAGAGACCATCCTGGCTAACACGGTGAAACCCCATTTCTACTAAAAATACAAAAAATTAGCCAGGTGCGGCGGCAGGCGCCTGTAGTCCCAGCTACTCGGGAGGCTGAGGCAGGAGAATGGCGTGAACCCGGGAGGTGGAGCTTGCAGTGAGCCAAGATCACGCCACTGCACTCCAGCCTGGGCGACTGAGCGAGACTCCATCTCAAAACAACAACAACAACAACAACAACAACAACAACAACAAAAACTGAAGACTACTCTTGAAAGCGACCTAATTTTCATTGTAGCATGATTTGATTTCCTCCTTTGCCGTCTTTCTCAATTCTGTTAGAATATCCTCAGTGAAATACAGACTTGGCCAAAGCTGTCCTAATGCAAGCTGGAAAGCAAGATCAATCAGAAGCCCATTAGGACTGGGATGAAGGGAAGTGGCTGAACGTAGCTGCCAAGAGAGTATCGGGATCCTTCTCAACTGTTTCAGATGTTTTCAGTGTCAGTGGCTTCCTGAAACCCTGTAACTCTAGAGTTAATTTCCTATTATCCACCTGTGCATCCTTCACTCTGCAGATTTATCTTAAAGCTTTTGAAGCTTTGTGCCCAAAGTGGCTCCAGTCTCTTCCTAGCCTACTTCGGGGAAGCAGCACCCTCCTGCCAGCTAGTGCTTGCCACACTGTGGAATGCCAACTAACCAAGCTGTGGTGCCCCGAACTCACTTATCACTCCGCTACTGGGAAGCAATGGTTTTTCTTTTATCTATTTTTAGGTCTGTGCCACTGTTGCCCTCCCAGCCCCGTGCACTCCTGGAACCAGAGGCGAGAATGGGCTCAATCTGGGGAACAGGGATTAATTCAGTTTGGCTAGAGCCAAGAATGCGTGTGTTTATTTATTTAAAGGGTAGGCTCATTTACCCAATTTATAGAGCACTTGTACTACATACAAATAGTTTATAATCCTTTGAAAAGGTAGCATGACAGAACAATATGAAAGAAAATCCAGCGCCAAACTTTGCTTAATCTAAGTGTTGTTATTTTTCTTTCCTACTCAAAACACAGTGTGGAAGAGTTGAAAGTACTTGGGCTTTAAAGTGAAGCTGATCCGGGTGTGAGTGTGGATTCTACCTCTAACTAGCTGGATGATCTGGTTACTAATGTCAGTGTTCCAGTCTGCGGCAGGGAAAATCATAGTACTAACCTTACGGGTTGTTAGCATTATTCAGTAAAACAATATATGGAAAACACCTCACATAATGCTAGGAACACCACAGTTTCTCAGTAAAATAGAAGGGATCATCATTATCATTAATAATAGTGGAAACAGCAGTATTATTATTTCTACAACTAGTAGTAGCAGCAGTAGTACTGTTCTAGAAAGAAGCATGTTACAAATGTTGGGTACATTTTGGATAATACTTATCCCCCCCAAACATAAATATGATGTTTAAGAATTATACATATTTGTATATTTTTAAAATGTGGTTGCTGTTAGCTATGAATATCAAATAGCCTCTCCCCCTGAAATAAGGACTGGCATAACTAATTAAGGTGCTTTCCATTTATTTACTCTTTGAAGACACTAATTCAAGAGAATTTCTTAATTTTCTTCTTTCTTAATCTATTTAAGCATGCAAAATATGAATGGACTTCTCTGAGATCCTAATAACATGAGATGTAAGATAGGCTATTTGCTTTCAAATTAAAACAAAATCTATATTTCTATCTTTGTTCCTGATATAGTGACTAATGGAGCCCTGATGCTTTGATCTGTTACTTGAAAAATATCAAAACATCTTTAATATGCAAATCAAGGCAGAAGCTTGTGGGGTCATCAGTAGCAGGTTTTCTCTCCCTTATAACAGTAATGGGAAAATCTATGGGGGCCCTGAGGATCATTACTTTAAAAATAATTCTACCACTAATGAAAATCCACTAGCTTATCCTTAGTCACATTTCAAAATGAAATTTAGATATTAAGTAGTATTGATTTCAGTTCAAAAGCTGCTTTGACCACCTTTATATCAATCCTCCAGACTTGGAATGAGGACTGGTGGAAATCATTAAGTCATTTATCTTGTCAAAAATCTCTGCAACATGCCCAGATGTATCAAACACTGGACGAGGCTACTTTTAGTTTCCATTGCCACTGGTGACTTCCCTTAAAACCCTCCAGTCAGCCCCAGCCCAGGTCAGACAGCTCCGGGAAAGAGTGAGAAAGCATTTGAAAATAAATTCCATCAGAATTGATGCTGAGGACCTTTAAAGATGAAGAATGTATGACCTCTAAACCATTGTTCACACTTCCAGAATTTTTCAATTCTTTGTCCATTCAATAAACACCTATCTAGCTTTTATCTTGTGCCAGGCACACTGCTACGTGCTGGGATTAAGTGATGAACCAGTAGAGAGGCAAGCCCTTATAGAGTTTAGAGGTTAATGGGGAAGGCAGAAAGTAAACAACTAATTGTGCAAAGAAATACAGAATTTTATGTTATGACACCTACTATGGAGGAAAATAATAGCATCCTATTAGAGGGACTGACTGGGAGTGGATGTTACAGAGGAAATGACATTTAAGCTAAAATTACGAGGTAAGTGGGATTTGGGATGGCTTCATTAACTCATAATGAGGCTCTCCGGTGAAGACCCCTATGCAGAGATTCCTTGACCATGGCAAAAACTGTGGAGTTTATTCTAAGTGCAATAGGAATGGCTTTAAGCAAGAAGGTGACACTAAAAACCTAAAAGGAGCATATGAGAATATTTCATTTGATTTTTATCCTTGGCAAATTTTTAGAATGCAGCTTTTCCTCTTGCTGCATGTTCTAAGGCAGTTTTTGTTTTGTGTTTTTAATTCAAGGGTTGCTCCTCTGGTCTCCTGCAACAGAATCAGCCAAGATGGTTGTTAAAAATGCAGAACCTCGCTGTAGACCCATCGAATCAGAGTCTGTGGGTACAGGGAACAGGAGTCTGCTTTTTGAAGCAGCACTCTGAGTGATCCTAACATACTTTAAGATGGTGTGAACACAGAAGGCATACCATGTGTTGGATAGAGGAGTCACAGTGAAGCAGGGCATATTCTGGATAGGCTGGCATCTGACAGATGAGAAAAGCCAAGGGGCATAAGCAGAGAAAGACCACAGACAGGGACTGAATGTAAGAGGTGCCTCTCTCTTCAATGGGCATGCCCATAGCACATCCCAGTTTCAAAATGCAACCTCTAGAATACCCATCTATATTACTTGGCGAGGACTGTCATTATAAAATACCACAAGGCTGAGTGGCTCAAACAACAAAGTTGTTATTTTCTCACAATTCTGGAAGCTAGAAATCCACGACCAAAGGGTAGGTAGGGCCGGCTTCTCTGGAGGTCTCTCTCCTTGGCTTGCAGAGGGTGTCGTCTCCCTGTGCCATCACGTGGTCTTCCCTCTGTGTGTGTTTGTGTGTCTGTGTCCTAATCTCATCTTCTTATACAGATATCAGTCATACTGGATTAGGGCTCACCGTAAGCACCTCATTTTAACTAAATTACCTCTTTAAAGACGCGAGCTCCAAACACAGCCACATTCTGAGGTCCTGGAGGTTGGAGTCGACATATGAATATGAGAGGCGGACAATTCAGTCTGTAACGTCATCTTATCTTTCTTTCATTTCATTTCAACTTTAGTTCCCATAGAGCAAGACAATCTTCTTTCATCTCTTTTGACCCTGGCTCTCAATGTGAGGTAAACCAGTAATATTTTCAGACCTAACTTGGAGCTCCTTAGAAGTACATATTTTTGAGGGCCTGGCCAGCTGCTTGGGAGTGCTCTCCTGTCAGCCCTTCACCCTCAGTGGCCCTTCTGGGTCAGCCAGGAGGACTGGGGCTCCGCCCGAGTCCTGCTTGCTACATTTATTTCCTATTTTAACTCAAATCAGTCACTTCTGCTATTTCTTTTCTCATAATCATCTATTCTTCTTCTTAATAGATTTCACTTAAAATGTAATTTCTCTGGCCAAAAAAACGCATTTATCTAATAGAAAAATAATACTCAGCTCAAGCAAATTAGATGTTCAGTAACATCTCTTACAGAACTTAAGTATTTGGAAATTGGACTGTTCATTAAACAAAAATATTATTTAAATGGAAAACATTGACAGTTCAAAATCGAGACAATGAGATAGAGACATGCTATTCAGACCCAAAGTTGTTATCCACAACGTGAGAGCAAAATATGATTATGTCATTCTTTAATGAATCAGTGAAATATAAAACACTGTTTTCTAACTGAAAATAAAATTCTAATGAATCACTGACAAGATTTTGAAATTTTGCCAGTTCCCCATAAAACAAATTAGTCTCTATTTTTTGACTCAAAAAGTAGTGACAAAAATCTTCTCACCCATTCACTTGCATTTTGTTTTGAAGGCTTTTCAAAAATCTTCATTTCGTTAAACAGCTGTTTCAGATCTAAATGCAGAACGTGGGAAATTGTAGCGACCTGCCTATAACCATTTATATATCAACTCCCAGAGCCTGTCCCACATCCAGAAACAAGATGATGAGATGGGAATGGTGTAAAGACCAAGCAGGTAGTAGACCCCAGAAGTCAACCCCACAAAGTCCCTCCCTATTCCTCTCTTTATGTGGCATCTAAATGATGGATATCCCTTGGATGGTCCCAGTGAAAGACAACAAGCCCCAAAAGTTCATGTGAGAATTAGCATGGCTGGATTCCTAGGCCTCATCCTCCAATCCAGCCATCCTCAAAGTGTGGTCCCTGGATCAGCAGCATCAGCAACACCTGGGAACTTATTACATACGCAAATTCTTAGGCCCCATCCCAGACATAAAATAAAAACTGAAAGGGTGGGGAGGGCAAAAATATATATATATATATGTGTGAGGAAAAAAAAATATGTGTTTGAATAAGCCCTTGAGTAGTCATTGATTCCTCCTCAAGTTTCAGAACCACTGGTCTGGTCTAAAGGCAGAACCCTAGGGTTCCTCGGAGGGGCTTCTGCCCTGGGGTGGGGCAGGGGTAAGGAGGCAGGGGGAAGGTGTAGATAGGGAAGAGGAAAGGCAGGATTGTGGAAAACAATAGGGCAGATTTTATGCTTCTTGTATTGACATCAATGGGGATATTTTCTTGGATTAGTTTCATATATGGGTTTATTTGAAAAAATTTCTGCTAATTTCTTTTAAAAGTTGAAAGCCACTCCTTTAGAACAGGGAAACAAGTGCCTTATGCTTTAGAAGCCCTCTGCTCAGCCCTTCTCTGATTATATCCCTTTCCACTGAGTCAAAGGAATGTGTCCACCTGCGGCTCAGGTCCTTCTAGACTATGGTTGTGTTTGGGTCATCAGAACTGCCTGCCCAAACAAGCCCAAGCCTCTTTTGCAATCCTATACTGCTGGCCTCTTGCCCAGGGCCATTCTCTGGAGGTTTAACTGTGCTACCTGTGTGCTACCTGTGTGTACCCCAGGCCCACAGAGCCACTAAATGGCAGCTTTGTGGGGGTGAGAGTAACAGAACCTAGATACATGGACTGGGCTATTCACACATGGACTCACAAGGCCCTTCATAGTTTGAGAGAAGTGGGCAGCCTAGGTCCCAGGGCTGAAGCTATGTGCACTTCTATGTTCAGGCTCCAAAATACAATGCAAAGGCTTCAAGAATCCTAAATTTAGACCTGGCCTTTCAAATCATTATGAAGATAGGAAGATAGAACCTACTCTAACAGTTGCTAACATGATTCATAACGTTTAAATCTTCATACCAATAGTAGGTGGGCCTCCATTTGTACTTTTGCCTCAAGCACCACAAAAGTTAAGAAAGAGCCTGGTTACAGAATACAAAAAAGTCAATGTGTTTTTGTTGGTTGCTTGTTGGTATCATGTTATTTTATTTTGTTTATGATTTTATTTTATGAAGTAGAAGGACATTTACCCATCTGTCTTTCAGGCAGGGTGAGTATCTAGAAGGAATGAAAACATATCTGTCTCTGCCAATGGGTTTCTAAGGAAGACGAAAGACACCTTTGTGTTGCCACTGCTTTGAAGTTAAGCTCTAATGAGGCCTTTGGTTTTTCAGGGGAGCCATGGAATTC
The DNA here is from genome assembly GCF_000001405.40 of Homo sapiens. Taxonomy (NCBI): domain Eukaryota; kingdom Metazoa; phylum Chordata; class Mammalia; order Primates; family Hominidae; genus Homo; species Homo sapiens. The sequence goes on along the minus strand of NC_000005.10, from coordinate 155,999,590 downwards.
TATGGTTAGGGCAGGGACCTTGTTTGTCCTGTTTATCATTATATCCTCACTCAGGGCCCAGCAAAAAGCCTGACACAGAATAAGTTCTTGATAAATATTTGTTGAATAAGTGAAAGAAAAACAAATGATTGAACTCCCCAGTTTAAAAGGATCAGATTTGCTCAGTTATATTAAGTCCACCTTACCAACCATGTATTGAGTCCCTGTGGGGTGAGGGGCAGGGCATACCAAGATGGAGTGGACACCAAACCCATCCGTGTGGCATTTCTTGTTTAGTGGGGGAAACAAACATATAAATACATGACTTCCAAAGGATCTGGCAAAGGCACAGCTTTTTATCTTGTCTGTCTGAGGCAGCTATTTATCAGAATCTTCATCTGTAATATCTACTGAAAACCCTGGGGTGACGTTTCCAAGGGAACAAACTGGGCAGGACCCCAGATGTTGGCAGATGAGTCCTAAAGAGCCTAAGCTTCTCCATCCAGCAGAAATCTCGATACATTTGCTTAACCCATTAAAGTGGGAGTTGGAGGAGTGGGGGTGTTAGTTGCAGGTGCAGGTATCATAAAAGCAGAGAAATCACATTTCTATGTGTAGGATTGATTTGGGTTTCCCTGGAGCCAATAAATATTTTCACAAATGTGATCCCATACTGCAAATAAGACATGATCACTGCTTGGACGTTTACTTCTAATGAAATTATCAGAGAAAATCTAACAAAGAATGTCTGTAATATGTCCAGTTCCCAGCCACCTTCCATTGTATGTCCTGTCTTTAGGGAACCCAGCAGGTAAGTCATAGAAAGTGTGAGCAGGTGTTTCCACTAAGCTTTCTGCAAAATTCTTGAACTTAACAAGCTTTCTAGGGTAGAAAGAAATTTTATATACACTGGTTTATACATCACACGTATTTTCCTGCATGAAGCCCTGCAAGGTGCAGTCATCCGAATGGCCAGCCCTACAATTTAAGGTTGACAAGACAGACCTATACCACAGAGAACGATGTGCCACCCATGGATAATGACATAAATGGACCACAGTTTGTGGCAATGCCATCAATGAAAATTCTTCACATTTTTCTGATTACAATGTAAGCCAATAGAGGAACCCAGGAAGAAGGGAAAATTACCCTAGTCAGCAATTTTCTCAGGAAACACCCACACATAATTTTAAATAAGCTTTGAATTGAACTAAAAGTTGCCTTTTCCTAAGTTCCTTCCTTGCCTGAAAATAGAAGATATTTTGAAAATTATTTTTCAACACAGACTACAGGTACATAATGTGCAAGATGTGTCATACCAGATCACATAGCTGATGAGCTGACATTAGAATTCTACATTTGCCAAGCCCTATTATTATTTTAAGATGGAAGAAATTGTTTTTATGAAGTTTGATTATGCTAAGCTGCAATAACTTCATTACTTTGTAAAATTATAATGCAACACAGATCTTCATATTTATTAAAAGCATCCAGCATCTGCAATGCCTGAGGCAATGCCTGTCATTGTAACACACTAGACAGTAGAGTCCTACCTAGAGGCAGTCCCTGACACGTGCACACACAATGCTTGTATGTTTCTTTCCAAACCTCATATTCTAAGGATTCACAATTTAAAATAATCTACGCTATGAATAAGCAATGGGAAAGTTCAAATCCAATGTAAGATGCTGTGGAATGATTGACCAAAAAAAGGTCTCTCTCTAATGGAACTTCAAAGAGTCAACAACAAGTTGACAGTTTTTAAAAAGCACTTCTTCATAGTGTCTCCAGATGCCACTTGGAGAGGTAGATACATTTTTGATATCCATAATTTGAAATTAAAATATTCCTCCAATGGGAAAACATCTTCTGAGATTAAAAAAACTGGCTGTTATCTTTTGAACACAGTGCATTTGTAGATTGAAGATGCACTCTAGTTATGTTCAGACTTCTCTGTGAAATGTATACAATTGCCTGTGGGGCTGGAAGAACAAATTCTCTGGCAAAAGCCAAGGACTCACTTAAAACAAGAGAGGAACAATGTCCCATCCATTCTAGTTTTTGTTGTTATTTAAGTGTATGCCATGTTGAGCGATGTATTTCATGATGACAAACTCACTTTCAGGATCATTATTCGAATTCCTCTGTCCCCAGGCAGGCTTATGATAAAAATCTGGTGGATACTGTAGTCACTTATGCAAGTCTCCCAAGCTCAACACTCAGATGCAAAATATCCTGAACTCTCATAGGTTTGTTAGATCAATAGCCTGGATTTTTTCACTGTGTTGAGAATTAGCATAGCATAAAAGAACAAGGACTCTTAAGTTTCACCACTTAGCAGTGTGATATCAGCTTTCTTATGTGTGAAATGGGATTAACAGTATTTACCATCTTGTGTTTTGTGAAAATTAGTTATTACCTGCAATGTGCTTAACATAGTACCAAGTACATAGTCACCACAAAATAATGGCTCAATAATAATAATTATATTTAGTAGGATACTTTCCCAGTCTTCTCACACAATTTCTCAACAAGAAAGATAAACTGAGAAGTTACAAATGTTAAGTCCTTCCAAAGTCATGGCTAGAATACCTTCACTTGCTATTAAACATATGGAAAGGACATTAATGCAACATTGGCAGAATGGAGACATAGGTATCTATCTATCTGTCTGTCTGTCTGTCTGCCTGCCTGTCTGTCTGTCTATCTATCTATCTATCTATCTATCTATCTATCTATCTATCTATCCATCCATCCAGATATCAGATTTACCATTTGGCAGCCTTTGATTTTTTAAAAATTATTTTTATTTTTATCTTTTTTTTTTTTTTTTGAAACAGAGTCTTACTCTGTCACACAGGCTGGAGTGCAATGGCACTATCCCAGCTCAGTGCAACCTCTGCCTCCCAGGTTCAAGTGATTCTTCTGCTTCAACCTCCCAAGTAGCTGAGATCACAGACTATGCACCACCATGCCCAGCTAATTTTTGTATTTTTAGTAGAGATGGAGTTTCACCAAGTTGCCCGGGCTGGTCTTGAACTCCTGGCCTTAAGTGATCCCCCCGCCTCGGCCTCCCAAACTGCTGGGATCACAGGCGTGAGCCACCGCGCCCGGCCCTTTGGTTTTTATATTCCAAATATATAAAATTAGAAACAATCAACCTATTAAGTATTAAGAAGCAAATACAGGAAAGAGGACACACTGCTGGCTTTGAAATTTTTGGAACCCGTTTCTTGTCACTGAATCCTGATACAGAGGGAAAGGCATGGCTTGCTGTCATGCAAATGAAGAGGGGAACAGCAGACACTGGGGCCTGGGTGAGGGTGAAGGATGGGAGGAGGGAGAAGATCAGAAAAAATAACTATTGGGTACTATGCTTAGTACCTGGGTGACAAAATAATCTGTACAGCAAACCCCTGTGACATGACTTTAGCTACATAACAAACCTGCACCTGAACCTGAACTAACCCTGAACCTAAGACAAATGTTAAAAAAACAAACATAATAAACAAAACAGTACAATAGACTTCTCACCCAGCCTCAACAACACCTAATCATATGCCATTCCCCACCTACACACAGGTTTTTTTTTTTTTGTAAGTTCTTTTTTTTTTTTTTTTTTTTTGGTGTGGTCTGATGTACATACAATGAAAGCTCAAATCTTAGCTGTACAGTTTTGACAGATAAATACATTCATATGAACTTCATCCTTTAAGAACAGAAGTTTCCCATTATCCCCAGAAAATTTCCTCAGGTTATTTTCCAGGCAACTTTTTCCTCACTCGGGGGCCATCTCTATTCCATTTTTTTTTTAACCATTGGTTCACTATGCCTGAAATCATATGAAATAGTTTATTTTATTTCCAGCTGTCTCACTCAATACATTTATAGGATTCACTCAGGTGGTGTGTGTCAGTAGCTGTGTATTGCTGAGTAGTATTAGGATTGTATCCTTTACAACTTGTTTATCCATTTTCCTATTGATAGATATCGGGTTGATTCCTGCTTTGGGAAATTACGACTAAAGCATTTATGACCTTTATTGAATAAATGTTTGTTGTATTCAATTTATTTTATTAGCTTTTAAATGTAATCTCTGCATTTCTTTAGTGGTTGCAGGGATTACAAAATATAAGTTTAACATATCACAACTTACACAGGAGTTAATGTAGTACTATTTCAATAAATGTAAAATATAAAAAACTTGCTGTAGAACATTCTATTTACCTCCTATTCTATTTGCTATTGTTATATATTTTATATCTACATGTTATAAATCTCAAAAATATACTGTTTATAATGCTTGCTCTTTAAAAAAATAGAAAAGAGAGAAATCATCCGACCCTTTCTCTCTTATATGGCAGCTGAAAAGAAATGTGCTCTGGACCTCCTCTTGTAGAGATAAGGGGGCATTTTTAAGTCCTTTTTTATGAAGAAAGCATTCTCCCTCATCTGAGTGCTGCCAGGTGATTTTCAGGTAACAGGGATGAAGTACAGTGACAGAGCCTAAGTCCTGCCAATGTGTGTACCCATAAGAAGCTTACCAAAAACCTAGGGCCCGTGGGCCTTTTCAGGACCAGAAGCTGTGGTTTAGAGGATAAAGGTTGGGTACACGGACAGACGACTGAGCTCAAATCCACGTTCTATCCCTGAATGGTTGCGTGGCCTTTGCTAAGCTACTCTCTATGCCTATCCATGAATGAGAGTGGCACCCACAGGAATACCAGGAAAATTCAACCTGAATCCAGCCACATGCTCAGCGCAGCCCCTAGCATGGAATCAGTGTGAATATGGGTTCTTAGGCCTCACCCAAGCACTTCAGCTTGACAACTCTATCAGACCAAAAGACCCTTGACATTCTAATTAACATAATTGCAAAACAATTGTAGAACCATTTAAAAATTGTTTCTATATTCACAGTTTATTTGAGGATACAAGGATGGGGAAACAATTATTGATTATGTCTTAAAAAATAGGAAAAGTCAGGTGGTTGTTTTCCAGAGATACCAAAGCTGGTAAATAGCAAGACCAGAACTTGATCCCAAGCATTGTGATGAGAACTTCTTCCACTCAGAGTAACTTTCACTTTATAAAACCTATAACATCACATCGTTACCAAATATGACCTTGCTTCCTGCCATTAATGGTAAGAATGATGTCTCATCATCTTTCCAAGTCCAAGTCCTAGGAGAGGTGAAATATAAATGTGACATTAACCAGTACAATAATAATAGTGTACATTTGCATTTATCAGGTACTAAGCTAAATGCTTCCATGTAAGACCTCATTTAATGTTCACAACATCCCAATGAGATATATGCTGCTCAGAGGCCCATTTTCTAGATGAGAAAACCAAGGCTCAAGGAGGTTTGAGTTCCCCACTGCCACACAGTCAGAACAGCCACAATGTAAAGTCAAGTCCTTTTGGATTCTGGAGTCTTCCACCAAAGTGTATGATGTCTAGCATGTCTGTGGCATGCCTCTAGTGTGGGAGGGTCCTTTCTGCTGTATTCTGTCTAGGATGGTCTCCACTACCCCTCAGGAGAGATGCATAAGTAAAATACTGGGGACAGATTGTATTTTCCAAAGACGATCACTACAATATCTCTCATTCCACGTGCTCTTTTTCAACCTGACCTTGGTACTTTTCCCATCTAGCGGTGGAAACTATGTCTCTTTCCCTTGAACCTTGGTGGACTTTCATGTCTGTTTCAACTGATAGAGTAGGACAGAGTGATGCTGTGAGACATCTGTGGCTAGGTCATAAAAACGCTGTGCACTTCTGCCTTGTTCTCTGAGGAAGCTTGTTCTAGGGCTCAGCCACCATGCTGTGAAGAAGACCAAACTGGCCCCCACATGGCAACCACATAGAGGGTCCATGGGCAAGATATTCTGACCAACAGATAACATCAACTACTAGACGTGTAAGTGAAGACTCATTTGGATTGTTCAAAAATGTCCCCAGGAAGCCAGGCACAGTGGCTCATGCCAGTAATCCCATCACTTTGGAAGGCTGAGGCGGGTGGATCACTTGAGGCCAGGAGTTCGAGACCAGTCTGGCCAATGTAGCGAAACTCCATCTCTACTAAAAATACAAAAAATTAGCTGGCTGTGGTGGTGCTGCCTTTAATCTCAGCTACTTGGGAGGCTGAGGCACAAGAAATGCTTGAGCCCAGGAGGCAGAGGTTGCAGTAAGCCGAGATCATGCCACTGCACTCCAGCCTGGGTGGGTGTCAGAGCAAGGCTCTGTCTCAAAAAAAAAAAAAAAAAAAAAGGACCCCAGATTTGTATTAATAAGGTATAATAAAACACATAGACATGGGAATGACTGTCATGAAGGAAGAAGCTGATACAAACAGGTCCTCAGAAACAGGAGACACAACACACAATGCAGGGGGACGGGGGCCATGCAGGAATGTTCCATGGCGGGGCAAGAGGCAGAAGGACTGAAGGGAAAATGGGAGCAAGAGCCTTTATTGTGGTTTCCAAGGGAAGGAATAGGTGAGGCATGGTAAACAGGCTTAGGATTGGCTGGTTTGGATCATTTCAGAAGGATCTTGGGTGTAGGAGCTATCTCTATTTAGATCCTGGCCTTGGGGTGATTAGGGCAGGAGAATAGTGGTCTGGAGTATAAGAGCCCACAAAAAGGAAGAAGCTAGAGCATGACTCTGGATTGGTTAGTTTGCATATGGAAGAGGCACTATGTTTGCTAACCATAGAAGGAGCAGTCCCTTTAGCATCAACAAGGTCCCAGAGGTCAAAGCATCAGAAATACATAAAATAAAAAGGCATAATTAATGCACAGATGATTCCAGCCATCAAGTCAACCCCAGCCTTCTGGTGGTCCTAGACAATATCTAGCAGAAAAAAATTATTCTTGCTGTGCCCTTCCTGATTAATGGAACCATGAGCATAGTAAACTGGTTGTTTTATGCCAGTAAATTTTTGATATGTTTGTTGTGCAGCAATAGATAACTCACATAATGCTTTTGGCTTTAGTGATGATAATTCCAATCAGCTCCAGTTCATTTTACCTCATGGTAGGGGGAATTCCTGATTATGCTGTTTCTCTTGGCATTACATTTTCACCAATTAGTGCTCATGAATAATATGAAAATGTGTTTAGGTTATTTTTCCCTCTGCTTGCAGGAAGGGTTCTCATTGATTAGTGATGCTAATTTTTCAATGTTCTCATGAAATTTTTCCTTATTAAAAAGAGAAGAGACAAGCTACGGTTTCCAAATCTGCACACCCGAGGCAGCGCTAGTGAAAAACATGTACCCTGACCTTCCTTAGCAAAGAAAATAGAGTTGCAGTCATTTGTATAACCTGTACCAATCAGAAGGATAAATTCTCTAGAGTGTGCACAGAACAGTAAGAAAGGAGGAGGGAACAAGGTTTCAAGAGGTCTATATCTATCTGAGTCAGTTTGCTTTTCATGATGACAAAACTCTGGTGTTAATTTGGAAGTAGTATCCAACCTAGAAGAGAAAAAATTGTATATATTTTGTGGGAAGATGATGAAAATTAAAATTCAAAGGCATATGCCAATTTGAAAAGAGGATCTCAGAGCTTTGAAGATTCAACCATAAGGGAGGAAGAAAAGTGATGCATCAATCTCCATGCTAATATATAGACAGAAATGAAGAAAGGCAGAAAAATAAGTAAGAGAGCAAGTTAAATTCTTATCCCCCAGTGCTATCAAAAAATATCGCCTTTGGCAAGTTTGAAATACAATGTCCTTTTGAGAGGGTAATTCTACAAGATAAGAAAAAAAGTCTTTGTGGAGTTCGCCTTAAGTAATAATAGTTACGGGTTATTGAGACTTGAGTCAGAAAATAATGACAAATATACCATAATCTGCATCAATTTTTATTCTAATAATAAACTGAGATAATGTTGAAATGAAGGTAGATGACAGTTATAAATGGAGAGTTCAAAAGAATGCTATCAACACACATCGAGCATCACCTGCAAGAAATAATCTTTATTCAAAAGAGTTTCTTTCTAGACATTGCTCCTTGTCTCCATTAGCATAACTTGTAATCTTTTTAAATTATCTTGATCACAATTCCTTCTCCCTTCTGAGCTTAGAGTTATATCTGTGAAATAGCAATTCTTTTTGGCAGCCATCAATTTGTTGGCCAAAAATTCCCTTCAGTGTGATCTCTTTGAGTGTGAATTCACACTCAGTGTCATGCACCTCACTGTGATATTTAGGAGAAACAGCTCGGTACTTGAGATACTAACCCATCAATTACACAAAGATGCTTCATATTCCCCTAAGCATAAGCAAGCTGTACAAAGCAGTGAAAGCCTTTAAATGAAAGTTTGAAGTGGCATACCATTTATTCTTGTGTGTGTGCACCCATGAAATGGCACTTGTATGGCTCAGATGTTGCTCTAGAGAGAATAATGCTTTACATTTAGGTAGCATTTATACTTTCTAAGCATTTTCACAGATATTAAACAATTAGGCCAAGGGAATAATCTCACTGACTTGAGAAATGTCTCAAGGTATTGGCCTGGAACGGCAAGCAGCATCCTTCACCTGGGAATGTGTTACAAACACAGATTCTTGAGCCCTACCCCAGAACCACTGAATCATAAACCCTGAAGGTTTTACAACCTTCCAGGTGACACTGAGAGACACTCAGGATTGAGAATGGCTGACTCAGAGAAAAAAGTGTAACAGATTTAGTATGATGGTGATTAAACATACAGAAAATGGTCATTAAGACCCAGGGTTGAAACCCAGCTCCACCAATTTACCTTCAGCAAGTTATTCACCAACATTATCTCAATTCTCCCATATGAAAATGGAAATAGTAAAAATATTAATCACAAAAGGTTGCTGCAAGAATTAAATAATGTGATGCATGGAATACTTGATGTAGTAAGTATTCAATAAATGTTAGCAATTATTAAATAAATCAATCCCATTAAATATAGACTGGAAATTGGGAAAGGCCTTGGGGCTAAAAGGATAGAAAAATTCAAATATTTTATATGACTAGAAAAGGATAGAAGCCAACAAGTAAATTAGTAATAAAGGCATTCATTGCAATTTTAATTAAGTCTTATTTTCATCCTCAATTCATGTGGAAATCCCATCCTGCCCCTGAAACATGACAACTGTCTACAAAAATATCATATAAGATCATGCATGTGCTTTCCTTACCGAAAACAGATAGAGGAAGAATAAGCAAAGACTGCTATATCTTTAAATCTTTATAAAAGCACTGTTATCTTAAAAAATCTTTATATGTCATATTCAGAAATTCTATGGCTGCCTTGTTTCAATACCATTATTGACATTAAACATGTTGCTGTATCTTCAGGAAAAATAAAACAGGTATGTTTTTGTACAAAACAGCTTAGGGGAGAGCAACACTATCTCAGAGCTGCTCAGAACCTTTAGTTTAAAAAACAGTGAATCCTCTCAATTGTACAGCTTGCAAGCATGCTTTTTTCACTACATGGAAACAAGTCAAAGCCATCAAATGCTGGCTCTGACAGCAGTTGTCTCTCATTTTCAACCTGACATAATGTGTTTCAAGACTTCAAGGCTGTTTCCCAGAAGTGGTAGAGGGGCCTGAGTAATTGGTTTGGAAGAGTGAAGAAATTGAACAAAAGGAGGAACAACATGGTCTCATTTTTATTCACAAGCTATCAGTCTGGCATTTATTTACTCCTAGTGGAATTCTATAAGTCGAACTAGTTCTTCATGTTGCAAAATATGCAAGGGCATTTTAGTCCTGTATTATATGTGCCCAGCCCAATGGCGATGAGATGAAGAAAACACACAGTTGTGGCTGATCAGATGAATGAGTCTTGCTTATCACCTGCTGAAGACATGGTATTATTTCTTGCTTCCTCATAAACTAAGGACATTTACATTTTATTGAATAACATTTATTGAAAGCTATATTATTTATTTACAGAATGTATAATAAATTTCATTGCTTTTGAATTCGGTGCTATTATTCCAATAATAGCAGTTAGTAATTTGTACATTAAAATTCCACTTGGTAGCACTCAAATCCACAGTCTTTGATTGGAAAGGAGATTTGAGAGGTGAGAGAGCGAATAACAAACTTTACCTAGTATGATAGACTAGATGAAAATGACATCTAATTTAGAACTGTGATTGGCAAACAATGGCCCAAAAGCCAAGTTAAACTAAGAACCTGTTTTTGTATGGCCCATGAATTAAGAATGGTTTTCACATTTTAAGTGGTTGAACAAAACGTAAGAATATGTCATAACTCATGAAAAGTATATCAAATTCAAATTTCAGTATCCATAAATAAAATTCTATACATAAAACATATACATATTGTCTATGGCTGTGTTGATACTGCAATGGCAGAAACCACATAACCTACAAAGCCCAAAATATTTAACATCTCATTCTCTATAGAAAAGATTTGCCAACCCTTGAATTAAGCAAATAGCAGCTAACTTCAGTGGGTTTCACTCATGCTACAAGTCCCGAAATGGATTTTTTGCTAAGAATTAATTAATCAACAAAATTGACGAAAGTTCCAAATCTCACTGGAGGAAGAAAAGGAGCATCCTGGCAGACAGTCAATGGGTAAATACTTGATATTCTTACATCTTTAATAACAGAAAGGAAGAGACAGTTTCACTGGTTCCACCTTTCACAGTTAAACTTCCACTGTCCATTGGAAAGAAATGGGTGTCCTTCAAAAACTATAATAGTTATAATAAAAGCAACAGCTAAACTTACTGAATGTTTCCAGTGTTCTGGTCAAACATGTATTGTTTCACTTAAGTCTCACATTTATCCCGTGGTGTCATTATTACCATTACCATTTTACAAAGGAGAAAACTGAAGTTTGAAGAATTTAAGTAACTTTCCTGGTGAATAATTTGAGCTTATTTTTACCTCCCACAAACATCTTTTAATCTTCAATATATCCCTCCATCTCTTATCATTTTAGATATCTACCTTTCTTGTTAGACAATACGACATCTGGAAGTATAAAGTATGACGGAGACTGGAGCATAAGATCAGTTTGACCAATTAAGAAGAATAGCATACACTGCGGCTGGCACTATTAGTTGTCTATCTGTCTGTCACTCTTCCTTTTCTTTGCTAACAAAACCTGTCCTCAATCAAGCTGGGTCTGTGCCTAGGCTCAAGTGACAGATACAATTTCCAGTTCTCCCTGACACTCAGAGTGACCCTAAGACATCATTCTGGCCAATGAGAAGCAGAAAGATATCTATGGGGTCGGGGGGGAGTCTTGGAAAACGTATTTTTTTCTAACGAAAGGAAAGGGTATGGCTGGCACCACTTCCATTTTCTCCTTCTTTATGCTTTAAAAGCGCTTGTGATGTTTGGAGTTACAGCAGTCATCCTGTGACCATTAGGCAATATACACAGGAATAAAAAAAAAGGAACTGCAGAGATGTTGTAGAAGAACTCAGAAAGCACCAATATATAAATAGTCTAATCTCTTGAGTCAAAAAATCTGGGTTTAAACTCATCTTCTGCCACTGACTGGCTGTGGAACTTATGCAAGTCACTTAACTTTCTTCTGAGCCTGTCTCTTCATCTGCAATGTGGAATAGTAATATCTACCACATATGGTAGACAGAAGATTAAGTGAGAGTGCAGTTTTGATGCTTGCATGGCCTGATACATAATTGCTAGAAATTGTCATTATTACTATTGTTGTTATCAGCATACTGGGATATGAATAATACATATTTAAATGTCAATGAGGGAAGGGTGTAGTGTGGGGGAAGGAAAATATGAACCACAGAAGGCCATCTGGAGAGAGTGACATTTGAGCTAGAAATGGAAAGAAGAATAGGAGTTTGCCTGATAAAAATAAGAGGAAGAATGGAGTGTTTTCAGCAGAGACTTAGCAGGAAAGTGCCTGGCAGGGAAGGCAGATGAATGAGTAAAAGCTTCTGTGAGAACTGGCAGACAGTAAAATTGAAAGTCCAAGCTAAGGCCAGATCGTGAAGGACCTTATAAATGCCATGCTGAGTTTGGGGCTTCATCCTAAAACAAAGAGAAGCCTCAGAGATTGTAAGCAAGGCAGTGACATAATCAAGTCTCTGTTAGAGATAGATAATTGGCAGCAGACTGGGAGATGGGTTTCGTAGAAACTGTGAGTAACAAACACCATCAGGAGACTATTTCTATAACCAGCCAGAGGATAATGAGAAACCAAACGAGGACAGTGAGCCTGGAACACATGGAAGAGCGTGGATTTTAGAGACATTTTGGAGGTAGAAAGATGAATCTTAGACTCCAGTGGAATTTGGAAGGTTAAGGAAATCGAAGACTCAAAACTGATTCTTCATTGTCTTGACTGAGGGGTTTAGGGGCTATTAAATGCCATTACCTGAGATAGGAGTGTTCAAAAAGTGTATTAATTAATGCAAGTTCAAATGATGAGAATATGGCCTTTTTGGAAATAAGCTATTTCTGTCAAGGCCTTACTAAAGGCTCACCTAATTCTCCTTGAATGTCATTCAAGTCCACTTTCTCCTATGACATCAGTGCAAAGGAATAAGGATTGGCCACATTCTGTCTTAATAAACCATTATATGCATTAAGACGGTTGTTTATGCACCTAAGTGAGAAATATGATTTCCAGCCCTTTTGCCAACAATTCTATAAGAGCTTTGCAGTCAGGAAACATGGCTCATACTAAGATCCACCCCAGTTCCTCACTGCTACCATGCCTAGTGCAGGGCGTTTTAAATGGTAAGTGCTCAACAGATAGTTGTTACTTTGATTTGATATAAAATTGATTTGATGCACTTTAAAGGGTCAGCTTTAAAGTCATCAATGATCACCGCATAACCTCTGAAGAAACAGGTGTGGGAGAAGGTCTGAGAAAAAAAGGGCACGGAGCCATTTGCATGAATCATGTTCTAGGTGATTTATGTGCATTCTGTAGCCCAAGGCCTACATTTTCCTCAGTGTCTCTACACATGATCAATCCTCAGCCTCTGACCTAAAAGCTTTTCATGTCCTTCACAATCCATATCCCTCCTACCCCTCAAAATGGTGCCTGGGTTGTTCCAGGGCACTGGCTCACATATCAACTCTGAGGAGCCTGATGCCATGCTCATCTCAGGCTTCTGGAATCCTTTATGTCTTCCTTGGCATACTTAACCTCATGTGTTCCATGTTGTCACTATTTCCCACATGCTCCCTAGAACCCATGCATGTGAATCAGCTGTCACATAGGCTGGAAGACTGCAGTCATAAAGGAAAGAGTTTAGTAAAAAAATTGGTCCTTTTAATTTGCTAACATGCACTGAAAATGTTCAGGAGCATAAGAACCTTCAAAAGATTTCTGATACCAACCTGCAAATGGATATTTTAAGTGAGTACACCATTTCCAAGAAAGATACACAAAGGAGTAAACTGAACTAAACATAATTACCAATAAAATGTTTTCAAATATTTGGTCATAGGATACAGGAAATGGATGAATGAGTGAACTAATTAATTATGCATTAATGAAATGAGCAAAATTAATAGAACAAAAGGTAACTTTTTTTTTCTTAGAAATAATTACCTCTCCTGGGGTGCCTCGACACTCTACACCTGAGGAGTAGAAGCATTCCAAAAGTTTTAGACCACCAGGAGAAAATTCTGAAGAGTTCAAAGTAAACTTTCTTTTATCAAAAACCTATTGCCTTCTGCAAACACCTGAGAGGAGGCATTTCTGTGAAAGGGGAAAAGCATTTACAAGCAAGTGAGGGACAGCTCCAAAGGCACAACTGTCCACCAGTTCCTCAGGAAATGGGTACGTTAATGTGAACTGCTATCACTCAAAGGTAATGGAGTGAGAGTGCCATTATTTTAAATGGTTTGAGGCCAGGCAGTCTGCAATTTCATTAGCTTTGTTTCTAGGGAATCCATCTACCAAATTCTGCGACATCTGCAGAAGTAGGGGAGAAAGCCACACAAACTACATTCTACCATTCTCTTCCTTAACGTAAGTCATATTCAAATTGATGGGCACTTGGGGTTTATGGTAGACAGAATAATGACCCTCCAAATATTCCACATCCTAATCCCTAGAACATCTCAATATGAGGAGATTATCATGGAGTATCCTGATGGCCCCATGTAATCATAGGAGCACTTAAAAGAGGAGGCGGAAAGAAGAGGAAATTAGAGGACGACGCAGAAGGGAAGGCAAGAGATTCTAAGCATAAGAAGAATTCGAGGCCACAGCTGAGGAATGTGAGTTCTAGGAGATGAGAGCTGAGCGCACACCCTGGATAACAGCCATAAAGCACATAGAATTGAGGCCTACCAACAACCTGAATGGGCCTAGAAGCAGATGAGAGCCTAGGCCTGCCAGCACCTTGATTTTGACCTCATGAAACTCAAAGCAAAGAACCAGCTGAACCATCCTATGCCCAGACTTCTGACCAATGGAAACAGAAAGATGATAAATGGATGTTGGTTTAAGCTGTGAAATGTACGGTAATTTGTTACTTCAGGAATAGACAACTAATGGGGGACTTATCCAATTAACCCAGGGTCATTAAAGTTTTGATATTGGTGAGCCTTATTTCAATCCATCCACCCAGTATCTATTTTTGGAGCACCTCAACTACTCCACTCAGGTGCATAGTGGTAAGTTTTACAAGAATTAATCTCATAGTGATGAGCAAAAACAGGATCTGCTCCTGTGTGTTTAGTCCAGTTGGGGACAGAAGTATTAAACAAACAAAATTTACATAAATGCATATGCAATAGCAGACTGTGATGAATAAAACGGAGGGGGAGCACCTGGCACTAAGAGGGTCTATATCAGAGGTTCTGGTGGAGGGGTGTTTCCATAAAGACCTTCCTGAAGCACTGACATTCAAGCTGAGAGCTATAGTACACATAGGTGGGACATAAGGATCCAGAGATTTTTGAGCAGAAAGACCAGCAAAGACCTTAAAGCAAAAGAAAACCTAGGCGTGTGAGAAACCGGAATGCTGGGATAACAGATTAATGCCGAAGACACCAGCAAAAGCTACATCATGAGTCTTTGTGAGCTGTTCTAACGATTGTCCATAAAAGAAATAAAAACATGCATCATGCTTCAGAACGAAAGGAATTATTTATTGATTAATGATTATAGAAACGGTCATGTACATGAAATGATACTCAAGCTGTTCCTCTGGGCTATTAGCTTTATAATTTTAATCCAAGGCTTACGAAACAAAGTACAGGCCTCTCCTCCACATTTTAGATCACGAACAGATTTAGGAAAAACCCCTACACTTGGTATTCTATGACTGACAGATGCATAGAAAGTGATTTATCCTAAGGCTCAGTTTATTCATCCACAAAGTGGAGATGATAGTTTAATGCAAATAAGAGATGCTATAAATATTTGCTGAGTAAATAAGTGAATACATTCCTACCCTGCTTGACTCAGAGGATCAAATGAAAATCAAGTATGTGAATGTGCTTTGCAAAGTGGAAAATGTTTCGCAAATGCAAATAATCATGGTTATGATTAAGCCAACAAGGTCTTCAAACAAGGAGAGATTGTTTATGTTTCTGAAGATAGAAGTAAGAGTCATGCAAATGATACTGACAAATGGGCTGGAACAAGTCAGTGAAGAAGGTCATGAAATTTTCATCCACGGATGCACTTATGACTGGAATTGCAGCCACTGCCATGGACAAGATTAGGGGGATGTCAGCAGAGGGGCAAAGAATTAGGCTAGACAAAGCATCCTGAGCAATAAATAAGTAGAGCAATAAAGAAGCCACAATCATAGGGATTACTAATGTAACACATGGGCTATTCTTTGACTTAACATCTACCAAAAATTGCAATCAGTACAAATTTGTCATTCTTCTAAAATATAATTTTTATATATTTACCAGAACCCTTTCTTGAAAACCCAGGAAAATTCTGTTTCTATGGTGCTATCTTTCTGATATCCTAATTCTAACCAAGAATTCCAGCTAAGGAGTTTCACATAAGAGAGTATCATAGGCTGGGTGTGGTGGCTTACACCTGTAATCCCAGCACTTTGAGAGGCCAAGGCAGGCAGATCATCTGAGGTCAGGAGTTAGAGAGCAGCCTGCTCCACATGGTGAAACCCCATCTCTACTAAAAATACAAAAATTAGTTGGGCATGGTGGCGTGCACCTGTTATCCCGGCTACATGGGAGGCTGAGACAGGAGAATCACTCGAACCTGGGAGGTGGAGGTTGCAGTGAGCCGAGATCATGCCACTGCACTCCAGCCTGGGTGATAGAGTGAGAGCTCTGGTGTCCAAGAGCCCTGCGTTTGAGCCCTAGCTCTTCTAGCTGGTAGGAAAGATACTTAACTGTTAAAACTCAGTGTTCTCATCAGCAAAATAGGAATAGTAAGAGGATCTAACATATATGATTACACTTTCTACAGTGCCTGTTATACAGAAATACTTAGCAAATACTATTATAATCATTGCTATTATTGATCTATATTCCCTGTGCAAACCTGAAAGCTTGAATTATTTTAAGATGGAAAAAAGTATTTAAAAAACACAAGCATTATCTCACTAATTATTTAGCAGCCTATTTCTTTTCTCTCCACTATTAACAAAGAGAAAAAATAAATAAAAAGCACTGGATCCTGCCTATAGAAAATCCCTAGCTATTTTTCTTCACTGGGGTTATCTATCTAAGGCAGAAATGAAACTACAAAACTTAGGACTGTGTTAAGTAGAGAAAACCACACATCCTCTGTTTCGGAGCTCAATCTCAAATGCTGGCATTTGAAATACTTTGGAGATAGGAACTGTCATAATTTCCAAAAAGCTTCACCCCCGGAAAGCAGCCCAGACCGAGTCATTCATCACCAGTATCGTAGCTGAGGGCTCAGAGGGAAGCCCAGAGTTCAGGCATGCGGTAATTAGGTCTCTAAATTCACTCTACTGCCTGGGAAACCTGTCAAAGAAATCCTTATCATGGACAGCATTAATTACACATAAAATGACAGAGCAGGCACTCTGGGAGACAAAGAGTAACCTGGAGAGAGAGAGCTGGCTGAGGAAGGGCAGCGAGGGACAGTGTCCAGATCTGGTCTCCTTGAGTACCAAATCCTACTGGCCCAAGCAGTACAAACAAGTATACTGAGATTGGAAAAGAATGTTTTCAAAGTCCAAATGGATTTATGTTGAGTTCATTCACAGAAAGCTAAAATATACTGCAAAACCAGCAACTGAGAACTTTCTAGCATTTGATTTACTTACAAAAATAAAAAGTTATTTATATTCTCCTATCATTTATTTGTTCAAACATGTATTGAGAATGGACTTGCACTGGATGCAATACTTATCAGGGAAAAGTAGACAAAGCCCTGCCCTCATGCCCCGACAGTCTGAATGGAAACAGGAATCAAATATCAAAAACACAGAGAAGGATCATCACACACACTTGTCTCTCATAGCGCCTTCAAGGCACCTATCACAATGGAGACACACACAAGGTCAAGGCAGGCCAATAATTTAAATTGGGAGAGAAAGTGAACGGAGAGGATATTTAAGCTTAGGACTAAACGCAAAATAGACATTTAGAAGATTACAAATGAGAGGAGGAGAGCTCCAGGAGGAGGGAGGATCTCAGGGTCCTCCCTTCCTGGTTAGAATAATCCATGTCCTGTTGTAGGTACTAAGGAGGAAGCAAAAGATGTGAAACCTTGTCCTGACACCCTAAAAGGTCTTGATCTCCTTGGGGCAGTATGTGAAACAAATAATAAACCCAAGGCAAAGACCATATGATACATCACTAAATGCCAAGTCTCAAAAGAATTCTAGAAGTAAGGAGAGGCTTGTGGAGGGCCCCCAGGATGGGCAGGATACAATCAGATATAGCACAGATTCATTGTAGGAATGGGAAAGCATCCTGGGTAAGGCAGGGGCTGGGAGAAAATGCATGCTGTGTTGGTGAAGGGAGGTGGTAGGGAGACTAAGCTGAACACAGCAGAAGTAGGAGGCACTGGGAAATAGGTTGAAAACGTAAAGGGCAACCACTTGGAGTAAAGGCATGAACATTGGGGCCACCCAACGTTTCCTCTAAACATCAGTTTAAGAAAAATTTGTGTGATAAGGAGTAATGGCAAAAGTCATAAATACAAGTAAATTCCAGAGAGAAACAGAAACAACATGATTAAACCTGCTCTAGAGCCCTGCCCTTCCTCAGGCCTATACTGCTATACTATAGATTCCAAGCACTGTCAGCAGTTTAACCAATTATACCCACACCTGCTGGGGTATTTTGAGCTCAGGTCCACCAGCAGACACATCTGGACCTAATTCCATGGCCCCAAGTCGGGGATTCTGTGTGCAGCTCTGAATGTCCTCCAGGTCGCCACTGAGATTGAACTGAGCCACGAGCTTTGTCCCACATTGTCAATGCCACACAGCCTCTCTCCCTTGCTCTTCTAATGTCCTCACCTAGATGCAGGTCCTCTTCCCAGCCCTCATCTCAGTGGGCTGGAGCCTTTCCAGCTGGATCCGCCCTCCTCCATCTGCTGCACTGTGGAGACCACCTCCTCCTGCTTCCACACCTCTCCTGTGAGCCAGAGAGAATCCTTCAGAGATAGACAAGGATCCAGATTGAGCCTGAGTTTACACTGCCCCTTTGGATTTTGTAAGTTGACCACTGGTTTCCCAGATGGTGCCAACAGTTGTTTGGTTCCCTGCAACTGACAATTCTTCTTTCTTGGCTTAAAGACTATGTATTTCCCAGCATGTCCAGCATGTAGGACTAATACCTTCCGAGGTAATGATTTTGTTTTTTTGTGTTTCTTTGGGAGAATTATTTTTGCATTCTCCTACCAAAGATAAATGTGTTTAACATCGCCTTTTAAATAAAGGGTCAATAAAAGGAGTTACCAAAACAAAGTTCACCTGTGCAGTCCATGTACTAAGCGGCCTTCCAGAGATGTCTATGCTATCAGTAAGAACTCTTTTTTTTTTTTTTTTTTTTTTTTTTTTTTTTTTTTTTTTTTTTTTTTTTGATAGGGAGTCTTGCTCTGTCACCGAGGCTGGAGTGCAGTGGCAAGATCTCGGCTCACTGCAAGCTCTGCCTCTCGGGTTCACACCATTCTTCTGCCTCAGCCTCCTGAGTAGCTGGGTCTACAGGCGTCTGCCACCACGCCTGGCTACATTTGTTTTGTATTTTTAGTAGAGACGGGGTTTCACCGTGTTAGCCAGGATGGTCTCCATCTCCTGACCTCATGATCCGCCCGCCTAGGCCTACCAAAGTGCTGGGATTATAGGCGTGAACCACCGCTCCTGGCCAATAAGAACTCTTTACTAGTCTATTTCAGTCATAATCACCTTGTCATGGTCACAGACACTCTGTCTTAGTCAGTGTGGGCTGCCACAACAAAATACCATAAACAAGTGCTTTATAAACAACAAAAATGTATTTCTCACAGTTTTGGAGGCTGGAAGTCCAAGATCAGGGTCCCAACATGGTTGGCTTCTGGTTAGGGCTCTCTTTGGGGATGCAGACTGCTAATTTCTCCTTATATCCTCACATGGAGAAGAGAGAGAGCTCTGGTCTCTATATCCCCTTCTAATGTCAAAATGCAATTTGGAGAGGTGATTAGGTCATGAAGGTGGAACCCTCATGAGTGTTATCAATGGCCCCACCTCCTAATACCATTCATATAAATGCATATGCTGGAATCTCAGCATATGAATGTGGAGAGGACATATGCATTAAGTTCAGAACATACCATCATCTGAGCCAGCCCCAGTGGGTACTCCAGTATCATCACAATGTGTGCTGTGATGGGCACTGCCCAAACCCTCTTTCAGAAATGAAGGATTCATTCACCCAGCTGCCAGGAATTCTTCCAGCAGACAGCCCTCAGCTGTCAACCTTCTCTGAGAATCAACCTTGTGGGCCAGCCTACACCCAACAACTGGGCCAGCAGCAGTTCAAAAGCCATTTCCTCACCTCCACTAGGCATAATTGTGGAGAGCCAGCCCAGCTTCATCACTCCCCATGGTGTTGACAGAGGAGCCTTTGAAACTGCATCCCAGCCCAACCTCTCTCTCTGTTCAGTCCTTCTTTCCCTTCCCTTCCACATGTATTGATCTCAGCAGCTCTTCTTAATAGAAGTCTTGCATGCTAATCTCCATCTCAGAGCCCACTTCCTGGGAAAATAGATCTCTGTCAACCAAGAACTAGAAGAACAGTTGTACAGATTATCCCCATGAGTTCACCTTATATCGTAGGCATTTACTGAGCACTGCTATGTGCCAGGCACTGTGTTCCCCTAAGCACCTTATATCTCTGATACAGAGTTCAGTCTTTCTTTAGGTATATGTACATTAAACACTCATCTACAAAGGCTAATGCACTCGTTATTCCAAGGAGTTTGATCCTTAATATTCAAGGTAGTTGCAATGATCCAACGTGGACCATCTGTTGTTGTGCCAATCTGTTCAGGCAAGACAGTTAAAATCCTGGGAGAGTCTGGAATCACAAGTTTCTTGCATTCAAAAATAATGTGGCAGCATTTTCTGCCCAGCTGTGAAGTGCTGCATGACTAAGAAAATACAAGTCCCCAAGGAGACACTCTGTGCTACATGCTAATGAAATCAGGACCAGGACCGTCCAACTTTATGACCTAATTGGTCATCTGAGAGGACAGTTTTTTAAAACCAGATCTTTAAGTAGTGATTTTCTTGCTATAAATACACTGTATTTGTAGGGCAGCTTAATAGCTCTACAATTTTCCACCTTAACTCTTTTTTTTTTTAAAATAACTCCAATATCCCCCCTCCCCCTGCATTCTTTTGGAAGAAATGGCCCTGCTCCTGAAGGTTACTTTCGTAAAAATAACAAAAATGAGTATATTTATAGGTTTGAAGACTAACAGTTTCTATTGTTTTAGAGCTTAATTAAGAAGGTGGCAGCATGAAAGGCCACAGTTGATATTTATATCTGGCGAGGACTAAGTCTAGACAAGGGAAACAAAGTCAACATTAATCTTTGTCATGTGTGACTTAAAAGCAAAAGCCACCAGGCCCTGCAGATTAGTTAACACATCTCATTGGTGTAATAACACTGCATAATCTTTCCTGCCTAAAGGCAATCCATTGACACAGTTGCCACACTATCATTGAGACTTTCACTATGGCCTGTGTTTTCATTCCTTCACAAGGTTGTAATAAGCCAGGTGTTTTCAAAATATTTTTCCTTTTATTCTTTTCCCTCCCACCCTGTCCCACTCCAACCACAGGTACTGTGATCCTTGGGCCCTGGTCCAGATCTCCTGATTCAGAATGATTTTCTAAAGATGCTCTGGAATCTGCATTTTTAGCAAGCACAATGTGATGATTATGTAAAATAAAATTTTGGAACAAATAGTCTTGACAAGTAAATTCATAATTGGAACCCCAAATACACATGGGCTATGCCACATTCTGGTCTTTTCAGAGATGCATCCATTCTGACCAGTTTATTTTTATTTTATTTTATTTTATTTTATTTTTGAGACAGAGTCTTGCTCTGTCTCCAGGCTGGAGTGCAGTGGCATGATCTCAGCTAACTGCAACCTCTGCTGCCTAGGTTTAAGCGATACCCCTGCCTCAGGATCCCGAGTAGCTGGGACTACAGGCATGCACCACCACGTCCAGCTAGTTTTTTGTGTTTTAGTAGATACCGGGTTTCACCATGTTAGCTAGGATGGTCTCCATCTGCTGACCTCGTGATCTGCCCACCTCGGCCTCCCAAAGTACTGAGATTATGGGCATGAGCCACTGCGCCCGGCCCATTCTGACCACTTTAAATGAGGCTACCCACTTATGAAAATATCCACCATGACCTTCCAGTTCCTCATTCTTCACTTTCTTGGTTTCCTGGCCTATTTGGTTCCACACTTTGGCTAACAATAGTAACCTGATGCCTCCCCTCCTGGGTGAATATTCTGGGCTATCTTTTTCATCCTTCAGATGCATGTACCATGGCATAGGTAAGAAACACATGGAGGCCACGAAGGGTGAAATAGTCTAGTCCTCTTCTTGTCTAATATCACATTAATAGGGAAAAATGTATTCACCCAATCATTCATTTATTCCACATATATTTATTAAACACCATTCCATGTCAGGCACTATACTATGCCCTGAGGATACAGTGACTAAAAAAAGACCTAGGGCCAGTATTATGGAGTTTATAGTCTATCAAATATTAAGGTAATTACAAAATTAACTGTTTAAACTTGTGAGTATTATGAAGAGCAACTCATTCACTCCTTTTGGAGTTTTATGAGGGTAAGTACCAGTGGGTCTAGTCAAGTTTGGAAGACACAAGAAAGTTTCTCTGAGAAAACAATAAGTGATGTGAACACTAAATGGGCGGCAGGAATCAACAACTCAGCAAGGGTAAGGGCATGAGATCTGGACAAACAAGGGGCC
The DNA here is from genome assembly GCF_000001405.40 of Homo sapiens. NCBI lineage: Eukaryota > Metazoa > Chordata > Mammalia > Primates > Hominidae > Homo > Homo sapiens. The sequence goes on along the minus strand of NC_000005.10, from coordinate 155,977,168 downwards.
AGGGCAATGATGAGGTGCTTCCCTGCATAGAGGCAGCCTGTGCAAAGACCCTGAGGTGCAAAGCGCTTGGCCCAGTGACTGGAAAGCAAAGAGGATGTGTTAAGAAATGGGGCTGATAAGCAAGATCACGCCTGAATTTTAACTACATTCAAGATGCTCTTCTTATTCTAAGAACTGTGAAGCCCAGGGGAGGGAAGTAAGGGGATCCAATATGCATTTCAATCAATCTGCTGGAGTCTAGAAAATGAAGGAGGGGACAAAACCGGCAACAGTGAAAGACAATGGTAACTCAGATGGTAACACAGTGGTTGCAGGCTTGGAGAGATGTGGGCAGCTGGAGGGTTCAGGAGGATTTCATCATTGATGAAAATGTGGCATCAGGTAAAAGGCGGTGTCCAGGATGATGCCTGGAGCCTGGACACACCCGTTGCCTTTCACTTGGTCCTTGTGAATCCTAATTCAAGGTTGTTCCTCTGAGGAGGAGGAGGAACAAACGGAACTAAGTGAACAAAGGGAACAAATTCCAAACAACACACGCTCTCCCTGTGCCTCAGTGTCTTCATCTATAACATGAAGAAAACAAGAATACTTACTTAGTGAGATTATTTGAAAGACTCCACGAGTGAATATGTGTCAGCTACCGAGCACGGTGCCTGGCATGCCATGAGCCTGTGTTACGTTCTTGGTATGCTGGTTAACAGCTTTGGTTCTGGAGAGAGTTATACATAACTTGGAATCCTGGATCTGGCATTAGTTACTATTTAGGATTGAGCCATTGATATCATTTTAGCTCTAGTTTTTTGTTTTGTGTCTCTTTTTCTAAATATGAAGTATTTCAAACATCCAAAATATGTCAAATAATGTAACAGGTACCCCTGCAATACTCCCCTCATATTTAGCAAACACTTACTTTGAGCTTCAGACCTATTTTTATAGAGACAAAATGGTATAAGACCCTTTTAGAGAGCCCTTCCTAGTGATTTCCAGTTCTTTCTTTCTCAGAAGTAACCATTATTCTGAAATCAGTGTGCATCTGTCTTACAGCATTTTTTATGCTTTCACTGCATATATAAATGTCCATAAAAATATATAGTACTGTTTTGTATGTTTAAAATTTTCCTATAAATAGTATCATACTGTGACTAAGGAGAATTCAACTCAGGAATGAAAGAATGATTTTAGCATTTGAAACTCTATTACTAGAATCTATAACATAAACAGAATGAAAAAATAACACATGGCCGAGCGCAGTGGCTCACGCCTGTAATCCCAGCACTTTGGGAGGCTGAGGTGGGCAGATCACCTGAGGTCAGGAGTTTGAGACCAGCCTGGGCAACATGGCAAAACCCCGTCTCTACTAAAAATAAAAAAATTAGCCAGCCATGGTAGCAGGTGCCTGTAATCCAAGCTACTCAGGAGGTTGAAGCAGTAGAACTGCTTGAACCCAGGAGGCGGAGGTTGCAGTGAGCTGAGATCTTGCCATTGCACTCCAGCCTGGGCAACAAGAGCGAAACTCCGTCTCAAAAAAAAAAAAAAAAAAAAAAAAAAAAAAAAAAAAAGGAAAGAAAGAAAAATAAATAACACATGATTCTCTGAATATAGTAAACGCATTTAAGAAAAATTCAACATCCATTCATGATAAAAACAAACAAGTAAACTCTTCAACTTGTAAATGTATCTTGCCAGGTGAGAGTTTCTCCACCTCAGCACTGTTGATATTTTTGGCAAAATAATTCTTTGCTTGGGGGACCGTCCTGTGCATTGTTGGATGTTTAACCCAGTAGCCCCCTCCTGTTCATGAAAATCAAAAAGTCTCCAGATACTGCCAAATGTCTCCTGGGGACAAAATAGTCCTTGATTGAGAACCATTGTGTTAGGCAAGTTATTTAATCACCCTAATTGTCAATAGGCCCCCAATAGGCCTTCAATAAATGCACATGTGTGATGGTGATGATGGTGCAGATTGTGATAACGGTGATGATGATGACACTGATATTGATGAGGGCAGAAAGATATTGTTGAAATATCCACAGACATGTTTTTGTTCTCAGGGTTTCCTTCTCTCTCCCAGCTCTTCTTCATTCATCATCAAGGCATTCTGCTTCTGCTTCTGCTGTTGTTTTCTCCAGGAGGCATGACACAGAAGAAATAACAGAAACTATGGGAAGGAGGAGTCAATTTCCAGTCCCAGAGAATGGATGCTTTTGGGCACAGAAAATAGACTTGGGAGAGGGTAGGCAGAAAGGAAAAGAAGAGATAATAGTACTGCCCAGAGGATGGGGGGTTAGAGAGGTCCAGGATAGAAGGACCAGATATGGTGGGGTTGTGCCAAGAGGAGATGAGGCCTCCCATTCTCCACGGGGATATCCCTTCAAGGGTCCACTGTCCGCCCTACACTCTTGGGAACCAGGCAAGCTCTGACATGCCATCTGTGCTGTTTAAGGGAATGGTGCAAATAATCTGCTCTAAAGCCTCCAAAATACCTGATGTTCCAGCCTATGTCCAGCAGGAAAGTCCCCACCTATGATGTCTGGGGCACAGACAGGTCCAACTCTCACTGGACAGCCAGTAGCAGTACTACTGGCCCCAGACATCGCTGACTACATGGTCACTGCTACTGGCCGTCCAGTGGGAGTTGGACCTATCTGTGCCCCAGACATCATTGGATACCCTGTGGATTGTGACCTGTGGGAATACCCTTCCTGGACATCTAGTTGGCTCATGATACATGATACCCTGGGGAAAGAGGGTGTGTGAAAGAGAAACTCACTATGCTCCCATACCTCACTCTTACATGGGATACAACAGAACCAGCCCAAGAACTTCTTGTTGCCTTACAACTTTGTAGTAGTTGCATTTTATCATTATTACTAATATTTGATGCTGGGCAAGTCATGTAACTTGCCTGGGTCTCAATTTCCTCTACTGCACGTGAGCCCAAAAGTCACTCAGCTCTAAAATTTCATGATTTTTCTCTCTCTCCTTTTCCATAGATTAACCGTTCTTCATAAATATGTAGTAACTGCTTGAAAAATATTCAGATGTCATCAGTTTTAAATCACGAAAGATTGAGATGTAGAAGATAAAATAAAAATGAAAAGTTGGGCTACTTTAACAGACAGCATGAATTGACTGCCAGAGAGAACTTGCTTATAAAATGCTAAATTAATGGCAGTTTTACTCAGTTTTTATTCACCCTTACTTTCATCTGCCATGATTTTTAAAGAGCACCTACATTGGAGGCCAGACCATACTGGAGTTAAAACAGATCACACAGATTTATACAATTTTATAAGGTTTGGGGTTAAATGAGCATCAGGAATGACAAAATGAGTGATTTTTAGGTAATGGCAGTTGCAAGCACTCTCCCCATTTTAGAGAGAAAGGAACTGAGGCTTTGCAAAGTTAAATAACTCTTCTCATTTAATTATTAACTGGACAAGCCAGAATTCAAAGCCAGGTGTGTAGGATTTCAAAGTCTACCCTGATAGTTGGAGAACTCATGAGTACAGATTCTGTAAATTTCATTCTGCGCATCATATATATTCATATGGCCCCACTAACTTGCAGACTTAGGTAAATGGCCAAACACCAAAGCATTTCTTTTTCTTACTTGTCTGATCATTTTCATTCCAATCCCCTTAATTTAGAAAACCCATCACCATTGACAAGTGTGAGCTGAACCTTAAATTTCATTCATTAGAGAGAATATTTGGGCAAAACAGAAGCATGAAACTTTCTAAGAAGTTAACACTTGTGCTGGCACGACTTAGCCACATTCTCCTTAAAAACCTTCTCAGTGTAGAGCTAAATTCAAAGGGAATATGTTTAAAAATGAGTCATTCATCTTTCAGGACTAATTTTAAATGGTTAGAAAATGAGAAAGTCTGTGCAAATATGCTATGGGTTATTAAATCCTGGTTTGGACTTCACTGCAAATGGATGTGGGTAAATATCAGCCACAGAATGATAATTACTCAAGTCTGATGAGTTTCCATATTGCAAAGTTCCCCTCAGAGTGGATTTCCATCCTGAAATATTGTAAAATCAGACTTTTTCGGACATTCTTTGCCTTGCGGTAAAGCCAGAAACCAAGAAAGAAAAAGATTGACACATTTGTCTATATAACAATTTTAAAATTGGCATGGCACAAGATATCATAAAAATGACTAACAAAGGACAAAATAAGGGGAAAAAGATTAACGACATATGTGACATATCTAGGGTTAATATCTAAAGAGTTTCATCTGAAGAAAAACAACCTGATTGAAAAATGGGCAAGGGGCATAAAGATGTAATTGACAAACGAAAAGGTGAATGACAGTCATATGAAAAGATTCTTGAAATCACTGTTAATCCAAGAAATGCAAATTAAAATAAATATATAAAAATTGTTTTGTCTTTCAGATTAATTAGGACTAAAACTGCCTGATACCTGGTGCTAGCGTGGAGTGTAGGGAAACAGACACTCTCAAACACCACTGATGGAGGGTAATTCTGTAATTTTTGTAAGATTTTAATTGTGCCCACTGTCTAATTGATCAAAACCACTTCAGAAGTTTTTCCCTATGGAAATAGTTAACATATGCTTAAACACACATATCATGAACATTTACTAACACATTAAACATTTAGAAAAATGAAATGGCTATTATTAAAGGTTTGACTACAAGAGTAATAATTCATGGTTATTTTAAGTAAAATACCATGTAGTCATTAAAAATAATTAGTTAGATGTAGATATACCAGTATGGAAAATGTTCACAACATAGTATTAGGCAACAAAAGTCACAAAACACTATCATATCCATTAATGATGATAATAATTATTATTCCAAAAATAAAAAGGACATTTAAAAATGCCTGAAAGAATATAAATTAATCTGTTAATGCTGCTTGTCTTTTGAAGTTGGGACTAAAGAAAAAATTCACTATGCAGTGTACATTTCTCTGTACTGTTTGACTTTTCGACAATTAGCATGTATTATTCTTTTCCTCAATTAGAAATGGCCAGAAAATATTCTTAAAAGACTTAATGACCTAATCTGTTCTCTTTAAAAGGCTTTTGGCATATGCTAGAGCAAGTAAATAGATGTATATTTTAAGAATGATCATTCTATTCCTAACCAATAGCAGTTCAGAATTTCTATATAAGAGGGAACTTGGGGCAGTCATTTGTTTGAAGGCGAGTAATTGAATCTGCTTTAGAAGAGTGCTTTTTAAATAAGATTGAGGAACCCATGATTAAAAAAGACTAAATTTGTTTTGATATTCTGTCATTTAGTTTTTTCTAAGCATCAGTTTACCTATAAACAAAATTTATCCACAAGTAAAGTGGCACGAATGATTCCTGCCTTATTTCCCAGGATAGCCACCATGCAAAGCGAATGAGTCAATGCAGGTAAAAACAATTGTAAACTATAGGACACTCAACAGGTATGAAGGATTCTGTGACTTTGGACAATTCCCAGGTAATATTATATCAGTATATCTTCTGAAGATATATTATTTACTTCAGTATTTTCCCCCTGACCCCGTATCTCAATTGCATCTGCAGGCAGGTTTGTGGTCTCTGGATTTGCAACAAATCATACATCAATTGTCTGCCAATCTTATGAAACAATAGGCTAATCAGAGGAAAAATTGGGCCAGACGAGTTTCAATTCCTGGAAATTATACTTAAAAGAATAGGGAATGACATTGTCAGTATCAGCTATATGGGAATAAAAACTGTATTGTAACCTCCTAGGTGGTACTGCTGTTAGCATTTTAGTAGGAGCTGTCGCTAACATTAGTCGCCTCCTCTGGATTCTGCAAAAGACAATGACCATCCCAAATGAATCAGATAAAGATGGATTAGAGGAGAACTTTGCTGCCAGACAGACTTGGCTTATTAGACATGTTGAGCATGTAATTCATGCAAAGCCAACATTAACCCAACACTCACTTCCAAGTCTCCTCCCTTACTTTCTTTCACTATAGAAGTTATAAAAACCAAATACTTCCTCAGTCTTCCTTCCTTGTAGCCAGGGGTGACCACAGATGGTGATCTTCCCAAAAAGTCTAAAGAAAAAAATTCATAAGCTCTGCTATCTTTCCTAATAAATGAGTCAGATGAAACAGGTGTATCTCCTTGCTTGCTCTTACCTAGAATGCAGACATGCTGTCTGGATCTGTGGAAGTCACCCTGAGACCATGAGGAAAAGGCTGAAAAAAATCACAGACATGCCAGCCTGGACGTCACTGAATTGCCTAAGAAGAGCTCTTGCAAATGAGAAAAATAAAATCCTGTTTGGTGAAATCACTGTTAGATAGATGTCCTGATACTTGCTACTGAAACAACTCCCTCATATATTACTTAGCCTTAAGCATCAATTTACTATCTGTAAAATGGAAACAATACTGCCTACCTTGCAGTGATGCACACACAGATGCATAGCATAAATGTATACACGTTATACATAATATGTAAAATCTATGACATAGTCACATCCTAATATCACTACTCAAATGACAGTCCTCAGAGAGGTCCTACCTGACAATCTATATAATTAGCATTTCCCATCACTCTGTAGCCACTTTATTTTTTCACACTGATTTGTATTAAGAATAAAATATAATGGCAATTATTTATTTATCTATTTGTTGTCTGGGACTCTTCACTGAAGTAAATCCTTTACAATGCCAGATAATTTGCTGTGTTTACTGCTACAACTCTAGCACCTTAGAATCATTTTTAACACATAATTCACATCGGATATTCATCAACAAATGAATAAACAAAACTATATGTAAAATGCTTAGTATATAAATGCCCTAATAAACGAAAGTTGTTGTCAGAGAGAGTGATAGTTATTACACAAGCAACATCTACTGGAAGAGACAGAGCTAGAGAGCAGGAGGAGAGATGTGGTCATCTGGACAGAGCAAGAGTAAGCTGATGGGTGAAATGGGATGGGGGCTGGAAGAGAAGAATAGGAAAGCTCTTTTTGTGAATTACTTATTGTCCTTAGTAAAGGGGATCTCTCACACCCAATCCCTCTAGATTGAGACTATCACTCTTTGACTGTTTTGAAGTTCTGTCTTGGAAAGGCCTGAGGCTTATGGTATCATCAACCTAACTTATCGTTAGGTTGTGTGTGTGTGTGTATGTGTCCTGTTGACTAAAGGCTTACAAAGACAATAAGCTAAAACTTTCATTTTTCAAAACGAAAAATCACTTGTCAAGCTGAAAAAAAAAGCAAAGAGTTTTAGAAATTATCCAATTCTGCTTCCTCTTTTGTCGAACGATTAGCAGAGCTAATGAGATTAACTTGACCAATGTCATGGGGACCATGGATGACAGTGAACATAGCAGCAAGATTTTCTAAACAATATTGATGACCCACTGGGTAGGAGGTGCTGTGCTAGGCATTTTCCACACACTAGCCCACGTCATGCTCAGGACAACTGAAAGAGGCAGTTTATGATTAACTCTGTTCTAAAGAAGCTTAGAAACAGTGAGCTATTGCAGGTCTCAAAGCTACCTATGTCAGACACACAGGGCGCAGACATAGGCTGCTCTGACTCCAAATATTCTGCGTGTTATTCTCACACCACATGTCTTCTGCCTAATGTGCTAAAACAATTCAAATTCAATGTCTCTGGGCCATTCTTCAACACACACTCATTTTCACTTTTGTGGGAGATGATCCAAAACTTGATTGCTATGAATTCTTTTATTTATTTATTTTTTAATGTGTGCAGTTCTCTCACATCTTAAAGTGTACATGTTCAGCTCTGTAGGATTTCTTACAGGCAAACAAACACATATAAATCACCATTATGCTTTAATTCTAACTGAATACCTTTGCCCAACATTACTCCATGGACCAGAACTCATATACTTTTGCATATTTGTATCAGTTAAACATTGTCTACCTATGCCATGTCAATCTTTCATGAGTATGACCAGTCCACAAGTTCCAAAAATGTAGCAGTGCAACAAAACCTAGACACGCACCCTAGAGATCTAACACATACAGGCATAAGGAGACATACATACAGATGTTCACAGCAATACCTTTTTTTGTAAGAGTAAACTAATGTAACTTAAATGTACATCAATGTGAATTGTGGTATATACATAACAGATGAATTATCAGCCCTTAAAAAGAATGACCTAGATGTGTATGTATTGATGTGGATAGATCTACAAAATATAGTGTTTACTTAATAAAAACAAGCTACAGAATTAAAATATGATCCCACTTAATTAAAACAATCACAAAACAAAACTATATATTGCTGTATGCACCAGCTAATATATGTTCATTCCTGTAAAAATATCTGGAAGACACACCCACACATTTAACTAGTGTTTATAGAGCAGGGACTACATTGGGGGATGGGGATGCAAATGTACAATTCGTCTGTTCTTCTTGATTATGGGAGTTTCGTAAGAAGAATGTATGGCAGTCCCCCCTTATCTGAGGAGGATACGTTCCAAGATCCCCAGTAGATGCCTGAAACCATAGACGGTACTGAACTCTATATACACTATGTTATTTTCTTATATGTACATACTTATGATAAAGCTTAATTTTGAAATTACACACTATAAGAGATTAACAACAATAATTAATAAAAGAATAACTGCAACAATAGACTGTAATAAAAGTTATATGCATGGGGTGGTCTTTCTCTCTCAAAATATTTTATTGTACTCTACTCACCTATTTTTGGACCATGGTTGACTGTGGGTAACTGAAACTATGGAAAGAGAAACTTCAGATAACGGGAGATGACTGTATTTATATATACTCATATAGTAAATAAAAATGACTAAAACGATAAGTATCTCAAGAACTGAGTCCAAAAGCACCCACGTGCCATGTGTAACTTCAGCAAATTTCCTAATTCTAAGATTCATTTCAAGAGAAATGTCTCAGGTACTGCTGATAGGCAATTACCATTTAGAAAACTCAACAATTTTAAAAATTAGAACATCCACAAAACACACATTTTGATCAACTTCCTACACTGCATTTGCTTAATTCTGAGAAAGTGATGATCACTTTAAGGCCTATTTCCTATAAAAAATGACCAACACATCATCCCAACCACTCTGCAAATATTGAGGCAGTTTATCAATTTGTGAACAGTATCAGAGGGAAGAAATCCAAACTTCATAATTAAGCACATTTCTTCTTGAAAGGGAAACAACTGTGCTCCTTGGGAAGCTGAAATGTATTGAAGGAAGAAGGTGAGACATAGAAATCACTCCCGACGATGTTCAATTATGAGGAAGAAAAAAAGGTGTCTCAGTGCTTTCCTTCTTGAGGTGTCTCTGTGGCTTCTGGTTCCAGGAGCGCCACACTATCTCTACCAAATTAAGAGGAAATGGGTTGAGGAGATCGAGGCAGTGAAAGCAAATCGTCCATTCACTCTTGGCTGCCTCAGAAGTCATTACTGAACGTTTTCCACAGCATAATAAATAAAACTGATTGGGTGTGTGGTTAAGAACATTAAAGAAACCTGGAGAGCCTTTAAAGAGCATTGTGCTAAGAGAGGAGTATTAAAAAGTGAGGCATTTACTTTCTTCACATTTAAATGTGGTGGCTTGGGGGAGAAACCATACTTGAAATGGATAGGAGTAATTTTCCATCATGATGGAAACCTTAAACAACCTCTGACTGCTTGTACCCTCATCTCTTAGCATCCTAGTAAATTGCAGTTATTTTGTTCCAAACAAATAGAAAGGCCCATGCAATAATGGAGCAATTTAAGACTGGAAGAATACAACACCTGTAATTCAATTTCATGGCAGCTGGTTTCACAACATGCTCCTCTACCTCTGCTTATGACATGGGGAACTTCCCTCCAAGTGCAACAACACAACCCTCACTAAACTGAGGGCTCAAGATGATGAGTGGACCTTAAATAGACAGAGACACCCATCACAGGCAAGGTGTAGCTCAGCCTCAATTCCCCAGGCAGCTCAACATCTACTAGGTTCTCAGGCAAGCACAGAATTATACTCTCCCAAATTTGAGGGTGAAACAATGAGGGATTCTAGAAGAAAGAAATGCTTCGGAAAAAAAATGCCTGCTAGTTATCATAATTGATCTCCAATATGCACGACAATAAAGGAGGAGATGGACACACACACACATACACACACAAATACACACATACGCACACATATACACACATACACATACACACACATACACACACACACACACACACACATGAAAACCTATATTGGCCTTTGTAAAAGAATTGAAAATAAAGTACAAGACTGCTAATAGCAACAGTTGCTTAAAATCTGATCAGTGAAATGGAACCATACGAAGTTCATTAACATTTGCTGATCATCTGCTACCTGATACAAGCCAGTATTAATATTAACATTAGGCAACTCTGGGTGAGGACTTACCCCTGTGCTAACCAACTTCAGTGAATTCTCACAGCTCCAAGAATTTAAGACCATTATTATCACTTCCATTTTAGAAATGGGAGAAATGAGGCTCAGAGAGGTTACATCACTCACCCAAGGTCACACAGCTGGTAAAAGAAAGGTTAAAGCCAGAGATTCAAATGCTGGCAGGTGATTCAGACCTTGTGCATTCTCCAGTCTCCTGCAACTTGTTGATGTGCCTCAAGAGAAATGCTGCCAAATGCCATCATGAAAACAACTTGACTTTTGCCTAGCATTTATGAAGTGCTATCTCACACATGGTCTTATTAATTTCTTGCATCAACCCTTTCAGTAAGAATGGGTATTGCCCTCATTTTATAGATGAGGACAGTGTGACTCAGATAAGCCAAGAGACATGCCCAAAGTTTCACAATTGTTAAAGGAAGACACAGAACCTGAACCCAGCACATCAAATCAAAATTTGCTTCCTATGTAGTTCTGAGACTGGAGTATATGTTGACATTCAGAATGCTGAAGTCAAGGTGATGTGGTCTCACGTTGACTGGGCAGGCATATATTAAAAGGTGTTGGTTCTATTGGATTTGACAAGAGTGTAAAGAACGTGGGATTTCCAGACACTTCTCTCAGCATCGACACACTCCTAGAGGTCTGTGTTTTAATGAGTGCATTCTATTTTAAGAGGTTCACAGGATTTGTAACCTTTTAATGATGATTTTTTAAGTGGCTTAAATCAAAGAAGCAAATTCATGAAGGGAGCATCAGGCAGGGAAATTTTTTTTCCTCAAGTCCTACAACCCATATTATTAAACTCAGCTAAGAGATGTAGTGATGCAGCCCCAATCCCTGTTGGACTGAACAAAGGGGGACGAACGCAGGAATAAAGATAAACACAAAAGAGTAGATTTGGAAGAAGGGGTCGGGGGCTCCTTGCTTCTAGTGAACAAGGGCCCTGAGCTTTTAGAGCCCTTCGTATTTATTGAGTAAAGGAGATAGGGAGAAAGGGGTGGTTGTCAGTTAGTTGCTTGACTTGGTGCAAGCCTGCACAACTGCATTCTCTGCACAGTAGTCTCCAGATGTTCCAGTAGATAACCTCAAGGAGCACAGCACCAGGGAGTAACTGCACTCAGCATACCTTCTGGTGGCAGGCACAGATGTGAGTTTGCCCACATCCTGCATTCATGATAAACTGTTTGCTGTTTGATCATACACCCTTCAGTGTAATGCTGAGTTAGTCAGGATCCTGCAGCTTTTGTCTCTCTACAATGTAGTAATGCAAAGAATTAAAGTGAGACATAAAAAAGAACCTCCCTTTTTTAAGGCTGCAGGCAGGACCTGAACAATGATTGACATAAGAGGCAAAGACAATACTTAGAAAGGAGCTGGGAGAGGACCAGGATAACAGATCAAGTGCCTCTGATACTGCTGATGTAGGTTGAAGTCTAGGATACATCAGAGGAGGCAGCTTTAAGACGTATGGTTGATGGCAGCATCATTTGCCATGGATATCTACTTAAGACAAAGAGCAGGATTCTGAAACAAGGTCAAACATCAGGTATACAGAAATTAGGGAGAATGTTTAGGACTACCACACCTTCAACCCTCTTTGTGTACAGGGCAGAGATGCACCTAATAGATGTCTGAAACTTGCAAGGGTAGGTAAGGAGGACTCTGGCCCCATTCTCTGAAAGTTGTCTTCAATAGTCTTCATCCCCCTGCACCCAGGAAGCCACAAACAATTCCAGTACCTACTTGTCTGGCCAGAAAGGGTGGTACAATGCCCCAGGGTTGAATATCCTGGCACCCAGGAGTAATGCTAAATCTACATTGGCATTCATTTGTACAAATAGCTGGGGCAAGTGGAGAATACATGCAGGCGTTGAATGACCTTTATGTAGCAGAGCTGGGCAAATACCCTAGCTGTAGGCCCATCAGCAAAGATGCACTTGTTCTCACCACACAATGTAGGGTAATTGCCTGGCCTCTGGAGTTATAGCCCTGGTAGCCAATCTTAGCTCTGTCATGGATTCTCTGTGTACTCTTAGTCCTCCTTGGATGCCCAGCATCCTCATCTATGCAATGAGGAATCTTAGTAGCATTTCTATCTAGAATAAAAACTTACAGCCAGTTGTGGTGGCTCACGCCTGTAATTTTAGCACTTTGGGAGGCCAAGGCTTGAGGTCAGGAGTTCAAGACCAGCCTGGCCAACATAGTGAAACCCTGTCTCTACGAAAAATAGAAAATTAGCCAGGCAAGGTGGTGGGTGCCTGTAATCCCACCTATTCGGGAGGCTGAGGGAGGAGAATCACTGGAACTCAGGAGGTGGAGGTTGCAGTGAGCTGAGATCATGCACTGCACTCCAACCTGGGTGACAGAGTGAGACTCCAACTCAAAAAAAAGTTAGTAGGCTAAAGAATTATATAGTACAATATAGAGTATAGTTAGAGCAAAATAATACATTAGAGTATATTACCAAATCATAATATTTGCTAAACACAAAAGCTAGCCCAACACAGATATCTAAAAAAAGTGTTTTTCTCATCTTTCTCTTCCTACCTTCATGATATAAAAGAAGATGATGAAGCATATTTAAGTCAAAGAAAAACATCCAACTGTCTTAAGGGGAAATGCAGTCTAGTCATAAGATCATGGAAAAGCAAAACAGATCTAGAATATACGCATATGTTTTCTAGCTATAGCAATAGGTAACTCAGAGAAAGTAGCCATTGACTTTTGCATGCATCTTCACAAACAGCTTCTGAGAAAATCAGGTTAGGAACAACGAATGTTGTTGAGGTATGAAATATGAACAAAAACTCAACATCTGCAATGATGTGCACCAAAGCATCAACTTTTTGATGCTTCAATTTCAGGTGATTTTTAGTTTCCTGATTTTGGAAGGGGTTCATTTTTAATACAAAAAAAGATAAATTATAAAAAAAGTAAAACACTAAACTTTTATTTTTAAAATAAGTCCCTACTGAATGCATCATGACAATAGCAAAGAGGAGAATAAGGAAGACTGGGGTTCTTTGAAGTAATGAATCACCTTTATTGGTCATGGAATTTTGTAAAAGCCACTTTACTCCCTGAGTCTCAGTTTTCTTAGCTCTATAATGGGGAGATAAAAATAATTTTTTCTTTATAGGGTGGTTGTGAGGATTAAATAAGGCAATACGTGGAATAAAATTAGGACAATACCTAGTATGAAGTGATTGCTCAAGAAATATTATCATCACTGCTGTTATTGTTCTAGATCGATTTGTAGGCCAGTGAGAGTAACTCTCAAACAAAATATGAAGACTGAGAGAGACTCATACATGGCATTAGTGACTTTTTGACTCATTTTAATCCTGCAGTTATAACTAGGTAAGTGACATGGGGAGATATCAAATAATTGCTTTGATAAAATTATAAATATCTATTTCAGAACATGTTGATGAAAAGATACTACATTATTCCAGATATGCTGCCAGTGTGTGGAATATATTTTTTGTTTCTTTTTTTCTCAATTCAAGTTAAGAAAGCTTTTTATTGAACATTTATGATGGGTTGGCTGAAGATCCGGGCACAGTGGATACAAGAATAAGCTTAGGAACTGCTTTGGTGGTGCATAAGGCACTCTTGCCAATACCCATGGTGACAGAAAACCTTTGTCCCTGAATATTAGCATTGATTATTGGAAAGAGTTCAACTTAGTTCAGAGCCAAATTCAGGTGACTAAACTGGATAATCAAACGGAGACCTGCTTTGAATGGAGTCAGATTTTCTTTTGTGCCTCAAAAGAATTCTGAAAGTAATTTTCAAAGGGCTTTTGCAAATAAGCACTAGCAGAGTTGCCGAAATGAGGGCATAGATTGCTAAGGCGACTACTTTGAAGAGGACAGCTTATGATTTCAACACATAAGTCCTGGTGGTTTTATCGGGAATCAGTGTCTTAAAACATTGCCTTGCAGCAGAGACCACATTTTCTGTTCCTTTTATGTCTTCTCGTGCCACTTAGTATAGTTTTGTGCACACAGTGCAAGCTCAATCAGGCACCTATTCTACCGGCTCTCAAAGATGTTCCCAGGTGGTGACCCATGCCATAGCCCTCCTAATTTCTCTGGATGATACAGGACCTTTTCTTATTTCAGTCTTGCCACACTCAGCTGAAGCACAGCTCATTGCTTTCTGCTGCAATTTTATTTCCTGCTATTCCCGCTACTACCTCTGAATGCTTCCTTTGATGCAGGAGCTTGCAGGACTCATAGGAGAAGGAGTAGCTACAGAGAAACCACTGGACAGTATCCAATCGAGGGCAATGCGAGTCCTCAGCATGACCTAGGTTAGTGGATGGGCAGGAAAAGTCCAGTTAGTGCCATTTGAATGTGAAATCCCAAATATACCCTTGACTAGTAATAAAGATAGGGGCTCTGGGAGGAATGGCTCAGAACTATTTCCAGAAGTAAATATGAACTTCAGAGTTTCTGACAGACACCTGATAGAATGATTTCCTAAGCTCGGTAAGGCATCATAGGCTTATAGTGAGTAAAACCTGATGATTAAGAAAGAAAATAAGCTCTTAATCAGACAGATTTGGGTTCAAATTCTGACTCTGCCCCCTGACTGCTATGTAACTATGCATAGATCATACAACCTCTTGAAGCCTCAGGTTTCTCATCTGTAATATAGGGAATTTAATATTCCTACCCCATTAGATGTTGCAATGATTAAATTCAATAAAGCATTTGATGCGTAGCACTCAACAATTATTTGTAGTTATCATTAGTATAATTAATTAGAAAGTCTTCAGACCGTAATTATTTGCTTAATCCCCTTTATCAACCTGCATGAATTTTTCATCATATGTACTTACCAAATATCTACGCAGAAAGCTTTTTTCCATACCAAGTACTATTCTGTTTTCATGCATTTTTTAAAAATTACTTTTCTCAATGAAAATATGCATTACTCTGTAAAGGCTTGGATTAAAGTAAGGATTTAAAAAGTGATTCCGTAGCAAACCAAAAAGTAAAAAAAGAAAAAAAAAATTCACATTTGGTTTCATAAATACCTTACTTTCCTACTTACTGAAGTGGCTGATAACTCTGGCTCTTAATTGCTGTCCAATGGAGATTAAGCCTTGCCATGTGATGGTAGGACGGCAACACACAGCATGGCTAATTGGATTTTTAATCTTCACTAGTCTTCAGCAATGAAAACACACTATGTTTGTTTGTTGGCTGAAATGTTAAACTGCCGACCAATTAAATGCCAAAGGGAGCAACTGGTTACCTGGATATTTACAATGATTCATACTTCATTTTCATGAGACATTTAAAATTATTTCCCATCTAAAATATAAAAATTGAAGCTACAGTTGAATTAAAATGAGAAATGTAAATACTCATCAGCCAAGGAAGATTATTTTTAAAGACTAATTTAAATGTAATTGCTCAAAAATTAAAATAAAATATACAGAATAATACAATCTAAAACTAACATAAGTTTTAAAGTAAATAGAGAAGAGTATATTTATTTTTGTTCTTTAAGCAGGGTATAATTCTACAGATATTAACTATTTAACAGCAAAGCTACATTAGAGGGAATAGTCTAAACCAAGTAAAAGGTGATATTTGATATTCCTAATATGTTGACAGGACATCAGAAACTTCAGTGAGGAAAACCAAGAGAAAAAAAAGTTGTAACAAAAGGAAAGTGTGCTTCTGAAAGTCCTAGTTACTGAGTTCATTATTTCTCTTCTCTTCCAAACCACTTAGCCCCCATAATTCTGTCGTGATCGCATGATCAAAATGCTTGAGTTCTGGAAAATGAGCTGTAGGATTTCAAGTTACAGTAGTGACGGGGAGCCTGGCCTCAAGCGGAAGTTGAAAACTACTTATTATGTGTGTGTCAGTTTCAGCACGCTGGCAGAGAAGCTGGAGTTTGTCCTTGAGTGGATTATAACATTGTGGATTTTCCATAAGGAATTTCTTGTGTGAACTCATTGAGATATGCAGATATAAAACAAATGCTTATTTACAATCCTTGCAAAAATCTTAGATCTGTGAAACAACCAAGGAAGAAGGTGCTTCTAAAATGTTAGGCTTTCAGCTTAACAAGGTCAAATGAGTTCATCTTTGAAAGGCCTCTCCTTTCTCAGGTGCATTTAATTTTTTTCTAAATATGAATTTATCTGGACTATCTTGAAAACAATTGCTTAGGGTAAGGTAGGGGTATGTGTTTAGGCTTCTACTGTTTTTGTCAAAGGATTTGCTCAGAGGGGACCATGAAATTGGACCAGGCTAGGAGAAAGATACAGGCCTGAGCTCTCTTTGCCTCAAACAGAAGACTGGCCTGGGCTTGGCGCTGGGCTAGGGAAAGGACTATTGGCGTCCTCCTACTCATGATGTGGGTGAGCAACCCAGATGTGGATAAATGTTCTGTCATGTCCTTTGAGTGCCTCCCCTGGGCCTTGGCAAGCCAGGACAACAGAGTAGCAGGGCCTAGGTTTCCCCTGAGAGAAACAGATGTCCTTGTTGCCAGTTATCACAGAGCAAGAAAAGAGTGGTGTAAAGAAAAGGAGCGGGAGAGGTGGAAATGAAGAGGAGAAGGAAGATGGAAGGGGAGGGAGAAGAAAAAGGAGGGAGGAGAAGACAAAGTCATGTCTTTTGTATCATGCCCTGGCAAACTCTATGAGCCACAGAAATCACTGTTTTTGAATCTGCAGTTGGTAACTTTTGTCTGTGTCCTACTAAAAAACATTTTTTCTCTCTCTAGCCCTGGGGTTAGGACAAGGGCCTTGGAGCCATATGCCATGGTATGAAAGCTCAGAGGACTTCTGAAAGCCTTCTGAAATCGACTAGCATGTAACCTTGAAAAAATCAGGTAACCTCTCTGGGTTTCAGTTTCCTCAAGTTGAAAAAATGTGGGCAAATAAATTCACCTTTCCAGGAGATATTATGAGAATTAAATAAGTTAATATGTATGGTACTTAGCATATTGGCTAATACATAGTACACACTTATTGCTAAATATATAGCTAACATATTTATAAAAGTACTACTAAAACTTGCAAGTGATATCTTTAAAAACTTCTAAAATATTGATTGTATGTATAAAATATTACTTAGCATTTAATTGAATTCTAGCTACTCAAAGTTATTTTAAAGGCATCTCACCAAAATTCTCTCAAAAAAACAAAAGCAAGGAAACATAACATAAGGCTTTCTAAACCATAATGTTGGGGGAGTCTTAGGATAATTGGCTAAAGACTATTCAAAGAGAAAGATTCCACAAAGAGAAGCTACTACTCAGATCCCCCTATTATATGCTATAGAAAGTTTGGGACCTACTAGGAAATGTCCCTTGGCAAGTTCTCCAGCTGAATTCAGGCTACAGACTTGGAGAAAACATAAGGAAGGAACCTGAAGAGAGGGATGAAGGAGACAGCTCTGCACTGGCCCAGGCCTCCTGGCTCAGGGCCTGGGTTATAAATATATGTGAGATAAAGGAATGAATGAAGATATAGGAAGAAAAACTGCAGGTGAGTGTGGACGGCTATTAATGTGCTAAGCTATGTCACGTTAAACTAAGAAATTATGCCAGGTACCTATAAATGACCTCACTGTAGCCAAGTGGTACCATAAGATTCTAGTTTGTAATAAACTTGTGTTTTGCATGACCTTGAATTACATTTGTTGATGTCCTAATGTGGAAAGAAAATAAGACATAGAGAGGAGGAAAGGGTGATGTGTGTGGTCTTTGGACAATAAACTCCCAAATTTGGGGGACACTGGGGACTGAAGGTCCCTGGTATGGGATTATGTGAAGAGTTTTGCTTGGAGTTAGGTTGAAAAATCACCCCTACTGCCTGCCTTCAACACAGCAATTATTTAGCGAAATAGCTAGTCACACTTACTATGTGCCTTCTAAGTGACAGGCAAAGGGATTCCCGCACGCATAACTTCAGTTTATCCTCACAGCAACCCTTTGAGGTAGGCATTATTGTTATCCCCATCTCACAGATGAAGAAAGCGAAGCTTGGACTTTCTAAATGTCACAATATTTCTAGTTAAATGGTTAAACTAGGACTCAAATACTGTTCTGACCCCAAGATTTATCTATTTTTTAATTGTTAGCATGCTTACATTTGCTCAATGGATGCTCACTCTCTGTCTATATTAGGTGCAATGAGTGATGTTCTTTTTCTTTTAAGTAGAAGACACTGGTTTCACTCCTCATGGAACACAAAATCTGGTTGAGAAGTGAACACATGAAGTAGACAGCAGAATAGATTGGTGATAAAGAGTATAATCTCTCAGTTCAGATTAACTGGGTTTACATCCCAGCCTGCCAATGCCTAGCTGAGGAACCTTGGGCATTTCATGTCTTTAGGCCTCAATTTCTTCATCTGTCCAGTGGAGATAAGAATAATGATATCCACCTCCTAGTCTTGCTCTGAGAATTAGTTTAGTTCATATACCTAAACCACACAGAACAGAAACCATCACAAGGTACCCAATCAATGAAAGTCAACTAACTTTCATTAATACAGTGCTTTACAGTTTAAAAACTACTTTTATAAGCATCATCCATAGCAACCCTCACAGCAATCCTGGGGTAAGCAGGACAGATGACAGCCTTGAGTACTGCTGAGCAATGCTGTTATATTGCCATGGTAAACTCATCCCTTATTCTCTCAGAGGACATTCATAACGTTGTCTCTCTTTTCAAGCCCTTGGCACCTCCCAGCTGTTGACTTTCCTTCTTCCCTTACCGAGTAATCAGAAAAGAACTTCCACAAGTTCCCAGGACTACCTACCTACAACTCTGCACCTGTGCCCACTCTGCCTTGTATGTTACTGTGAATGACGTACTCATGTTTCCATCTGTAGTAGGCAGAATATTCGCCTCCCAAAGATGTCCATGTCCTAACCTGCAGAACCTGTGAGTAGGTTGTATTATATGCATAGCAAAGGAGAACTAAGGGAGCAGATGGAATTAAGGCTGCTGTTCAGTTGACCTTAAAATAAGGCTGGTTTATCTACATGGGCCCAATGTAATCACAAGGGTCCTTAGGTGTGCAAGATGGTGGCAGAAGGGTCAGGTCAGAGTGATACAATCTGAAGAGGACTTGGCCCACTTGTTGCTGTCTTTGAAGATGAAAGAAGAGGGCCATGAGCCAAAACCTGAGAGTAGACATTAGAAGCTGAAACAAAGAGGATATAGATTCTCCCCTAGAGCCTCTGAAAGAAATGGAGCCTTCCTGACACTTTGATTTTAGCCCAGTGAAACCCATTTTAGATGACTGACCTTCAGAACTGTAATCCTGCCTTGAGGAATGGGAGCCAGGCTTTATACTCCCATAGGGACTAGTCATTCTATATTGGCTGCCACTAAGGAGAGAGTGTGACCTTGGTGGGGGCAGCTCTCTTCAGGTGAGAGTAATTCCCAGAGAAGGATTCAGCTGAACATCATCACCTGCCCAGGCTCCCAGCAGCCTCAGCACTGAAGGGGGATCTGAGCAGCGCATTACAACCTTCACTACGCAGACTTCCCCACTTCTCTTCCCTCCATCCAAAATGCTCCTTCCCCAGACACATGCAAGACTCTCTCTTTTCCATCTCCTTCAGATCTTCATCAAATGTCATTCTCAGTGAAGTCTTCCTTGAGCACCTTATTCAAAACCGCATCACTTCTGCACTCCTATCACCCTCTGTCACCTTTATTGATCTATTTTCCCCATACATACTGTGATAGCAACACTGCAGCCCTTCCCAGGGTCTGAATGAACCAAGAAGCAGGGAAGGTAAGTGAAGTGGGTTGAATTGTAGCCCCAAAAAGATGTATCCAGTTCCAACCCTCGGTACCTATAAATGTGACCTTATTGGGAAAAAGGATCTTTGCAGACATAACTAAGTAAAGGATCTCGAGATTAGATCATCCTGGATTAACCGGGGGGGGGGGCCCTGAGTCCAACAAAAAGGTCCTTATAAAAAGAAGAGAAGACACACACAATGAAGGCCATGTGAAGGTGGAGGTAGAGGCTGCAGTGATGTTGAATGCCTGGTGCCACCACAAGCTGAAAGAGCCAAGGATGGATTCTCTAAAACCTTCCAAGGGAGCACGGCCCTGCTGACGCCTTGACTTTCGATTTCTGGCCTCCAGAACTATGGAAGAATAAATTTGTGTTGCTTGAAAACACCAAGTTTGTGGTAATTTGTTATGGCAGCCCTATGAGACTAATAGAGTAAGTATCCTCAGGACGATGAAAATAAATGCCAGCGCCTACATTATCTACCCAAGCTCAAGGTATGAGCAGCCATCATCCGTCAGAGAAGAATCTCCCTGCATTTGTAATTTTGATTTCTTCTCCTCAGAGTTGATTACATCTATTCTGATTTTTTAAAACTCAGTGTTCCATTGGTCACAAATGCTCCTAACTTCAAAAATAATCTAGTTTTGTACAAGCCAGCTGCCAGGTCAATAAAATCACCTCTTGCAAGCTAGTAATATCTGTGATTTACCAGAAACAGCAGGAAGGGTCTAAATCATGAGCAGGAATACTTCAGCCAGAGGCACGCCCACCCCAGATGAACCAGAGAGAACTTGGAAGCTGTGACAGGTGGGAGAGGTGGGAAAAAAAAAAAAAAAACAAGAAGAGCAAGAAAGCAATTTCAGTGGGATACTGAAAAAAGAAATCTAAATTTTTAGAGTGGCAATGCAATTATTTCAATGTCTGCCTCCTCCACCTATTACAAGTAATACTGACTCCTTCTCCTTTGAATTACATTTGTGCTCATCGCCAATCTTACACACTTTACATTTAAGTCCCTACGGTTTTACTTTAGGGCTAACTCAGTAAGCTGTTTGAGGGTAGGGACTATGTTAAATTTTCTTTTCTCGTGCCCTCAGTTTCTTTACAGGGCTAAGTAAATAATGAATCATTAAGAGGCAACTATTAGTTGACGTATCTTTGTTTTTCTGTTCATAATCTGTTACTCTAACAACTATTTTGACTCACAAATACCAAAGTATTGGTATATCAGAGTAATGGCAGATCTATAAACTATACAGGCAACATGCTCATGTGTGTGTCCACACAACCCACACACAAACACGCAACAGAAATACTTGACTCTAAATCAATTTTGGCATCAACTATCATCACATATGAGAGTTCCAATAATATGTTAGGTAATTATTTTTCACAAAGAAAAATGAGAAAGATAAAAGTGTCTCCAATATAGCCTGCAATCAAGTGTTTGCATAGATAACATTAGAACTGAAAGGCTCCTGTCAAATGCCCAAATCTGAACTATTTCATGCTGTGTTGTATATGATTAACTATAAGCCAACCCTAGTTCCAGAATACTTCAAATAGCTTTGGGAAAATTCATAATAATATTTATTTAGCACTTACTCTAGTCCAGCCACTATTCTAAATACTTCAAATTTATTGAATTCATTTACTTACTAAATCATCAAATACTTACGGAGTGTGTCATGGTTAATTTTGTGTGTCAATTTGACCGGGCCACATGGTGCCTAGACATTTGATCAAACATTCTTCTGAGAGTGTCTGTGAGGGTATTCCTGGATAAGATTAACTTCTGAATCAGTAGACTGAGAAAAGCAGACTACCCTCCCTGACACAAGTAGGCCTCATCCAATCAATTGAAGATCTGAATGGAACAAAAAGGCTGACCCTCCTGCAAGTAGGATGGAACGCCTCCTTCCTGGCAGCTTGAGCAAGACACTGGTCTTTGCCAGTTTTCAGACTCAAACTAAAACACTGGCTCTGCTTGGGTCTCGAGCCTGTCTGCTTTCAGACTGCAACTTGCACCATTGGCTCTTCTGGCTCTCAGGCACTTGCACTTATACTGGAACTACACATGAGCTCTCTCGTAGACCAGCAGCTTGCTGACTGCAGATCTTGGAATCTGTCACTGTGCATAATCGCATGAGCCAATTCTTCATAGTAAGGCTCTTCCTGGATATACATACATCCTGTTAGTTCTCTTTCTCTGGTAAAGCATATCCTGTTAGTTCTCTTTCTCTGGAAAACCTTTACTGATAGAACAAAGTTGGTAAAGACACTACTCTAGGTCCTGGGGCTACCTCTATCAAAAGAACAGACAAAAAAGCCATGCCTTGCAAGTTTTATATTCTAGTCATTTAACCCAAAAAAAAAAAAAAAAGAACCCCATAAGCTGCCCATAATGATAGTTTTTATCCTTGTTGTACAGATGGGGTGCTAAGAATTGCTTTAACCCCATGCCCAGATCGCTAATCAAATGGATTCAAGTTGCTGTTGCAGTATTAATTTAATTTTTGTTTTTATTGATTCATGTCTCATCAGTTTAGCTACTGCACACTCCGTGTGTATGTGCTGCTTTGTGTGAAGTGTGCATACTTCTGCAATTAATTCAGTCGAAAGCGAATTTATGACCTAAGAAGCAAAAGCGTGCCTTTTCTTCAGGAGTCAAAGTTCAAGAAGCAATAGGGAAACTTGCACAGAAACCTGTCTATAATTACTGATGAGACAAGGATACTTTCAAACGCTCTTTGAAATAATGCTTTGTTTTCTTTTACAAATAGAAAAACAGTACAGAAGGTCTTTAGATCATATGATGGAGAAGAGTCAAGTTTTAGAAGTCAATAGACAAGATTTTTGGTCTTAGTTTGACAGGAATTGTGAAATTGGTCTATTTTCTTAGCCTAAATATGCCTCCATTTCTGCTACGAAATAATAAAAATATCTGTCTCCGAATGGGGGCACCAGCTAGTCAGTGAGGCAGCGGATGTAAAGCTCTGAGCACACTCTGTGGGACACATTAAATTCTCAGTAGGTATTAGGTAAAAATAATGAGCAGAGATCTTTAGGTTAAACTTTAGGATAAATTGGATATTTTAACGCACAACTGAAAAATTAATATTAAGTCTGGCAGACACGAAGAAAATGAATTTGTTGGAGGAAATACAAGATGACCTAGTTGCCTAGGTCGGAGGGAAGGAACTCTGAGGTCTTTAATTGAAAGCAAACAAGTTTTCACTAAGTGCCTAATTTGCACAAAGCACTTAACAGACATCACAGCTCCATCAGCTCACTGAATTCTCACAACTGCAATATACAATTGGTACTTTCTAAGTAGCTTCTTTGTGTCAGACTTGTGTTTGATGCTAGTGAGTCAGTGGTGAGTAAAACCAAAAGTTACTGGCCTCATGGAGCTTGCAGGCACCAGCAGGTGATGACTGATTGAATGAACGGCTTATCTGCCCAAACTTTTCCAGGCTTTGCAGGCCATGGTTTCTGTTGCAGCTATTCAACTGTGCCATAATAAAGCAGAAACAGAGATAGACAATGTGTAGATGAATGAGTACAATCATGTTCCTGTAAGACTTTACTTACCAAAACAGGAGACAGACAGGCTATAGTTTGCAGGTCTCTTGATATTGGAGAGCTCAACTAGCTCCCAGTCTAGGGAAATTAAGAACTTCAATAAACAGAGGAGGGTATTAAGTAAATTGTGCTTTCAAGAAACAATAAGGATCCCTAAAAAGGCAGGAAGTAAAAAGGGAACTCCAGGCAAAAGGAACAGACGGCTAAAATCATGGAAGCATGAAAGAACATGGCTTGCTCAGGAAGAGTAAGCATGAGGAGGCTTGATAACTGGGCGAGTGAGGTCAGCGAAAAATGAACACAGAATTAAAAAAAGCCTTTCTGTGCATATTTCTGTGGTGGTTGAAAGCAAAGTTCATATTATCTTTCAGTGTTTCTAAAGGTCGAGCTGCATTTCCCCACCCAAAGCTAAATGATAACATGATGCAGTTCAAAAGCTGGTCATATCAAATTGCCATCTAATCATTTAATTAAAGCCCCATGCTGGCACCAGCCATCCTCAGGGCCCATTTTTCATCTGGGCACATTTCATTACACTTTTCAAAGCAAATTTGCCTTTTCAAAGGCAAAAAATGCAAATGACTAGGTTTGAAAGGAAGTGCATAACATTTTGCATAATGACAGGGATTTTCTTGGAAAGCAGTAATGCACAGGCAGAGCTATCTTTAGGGGCTGACGGTGGCTTATCAGCCCTATGGGAACTCGACATGATATTTCATTACAGCGCCAGGATGCAAACAGAAGTGAAATACCAAACACCAGAATGCAAGCAGCCCTCCCCATGACTGTTTTCAGCATCACAGCAACCACATTTTCAAACAGGGTACGTCTTTTGGACCAGCAAGACCAAGGCAGACATTGACAAGTGGAGGACATTTATAATGTGACCAAGAAAATGAGGAAGAGCTAGGAGGAAATGACCTGTTCAAAGACAGGAATAGGAACACCACACCTAAAGGCCAACTAACATAAAGCATTAATAGGCAAATTCAGTCACATTAAAAAAAAAATTCCTCAGGAGCAGGAAAACATCCACTTTGACGCAGTATAATGCATGTCAGTAGTACTCACAATAAGGGAATGAAAGTGACCTTAACAATATAAGTCAGCATCTTCCTCCTTGGGGTTTTTGAAAACTCTCAGAAGCACTGCTACCCAATTACTTGTGTCTTTCTCTTTGAAAGATGAAACTCCAGCACAAATTTTATGAATCTATACACCCCAAGATCAGAGGCAATTAGCCCAAAGAAGAAAGAGTGGTACACAATGAACACCTGTTTATTCTTTCTTTACCATCAAGGAGACAAGAAAAGATTAACTTTAGGATGTTAGATAAGCCCTTTCATCCTGTGAAAGAACCTCTGGCAGCTAAAGTAGCAGCACCAGGGTGAGGCTGAGAATCCAGTCAAAGATCAAGTCACAGACTGTTCTGATTTGTGGTCAGAGGACATATGGGTTCATTAGTACATTAACCATTGCTGGTTAGCTCAACTAAGGCCTGTGCCTTGTGTAAGCTGAAGACCTCATTCTATTCCCTCTATAGAAAGGATCCCAATCCATGCTATATCCAGGCAGGTCAGACCCTAACCCAAATGTATCATTCAGTTCAGAGCACCACCCCACCTCAGAGATATGGAGAAAAGCAAGAGCACAGTTAGGCATTTGACATAGCCTATCTCCACTTTTATTTTTTTTTCCATTTCAATATTATATCAAAATATACATACAGAAAAGTGCACATATTATAAATTTACATCTTGATGAATTTTCACATGAGCACACCTATGTGACCAATAATTAGGCATGCACAAAAAATAACATTAACTGCATCCAAAAGTTTCCTTCCTACCCTTTTAGGATAACCACTTTCTTGACTCTTAGCATCACAGGGTAGTTTTTTATTTTATATAAATGAAATCACATAATACATTCTACTGTCTGAATTCTTTGGGCCAACATCATATTTTTGAGATTTAACCACATCATTGGGTCTAGTTACATATTGTCGCTTCTCATGGATTTACAGAGTTCCATTATGTGAATGTGCCATGATTTGTCCACTCAGTCTTGATGGTTGCCTGTGATATTTCCAGCTGTGGGCTATCAGGAAGAGTGCAGCTATAATGATCCTGTATATGTCTTTCAGTGAATATGGCAGATATTTTGATCTTGCTACTTTGATGTGAGAAAAAATTTATGGTGCAGCATTTGACACAGCTGTGTCAAATTCATCATGCTAAAATGTGAAATCCGCATCTTGTGTTTGGAGTGTGAAAGAGATGTTCCTGATTTCTCCTGTGTCTCTGACCCTCTCACTGTCCTCAACTCTGCTCCTGGCCCTGACCATCCTATGAAGTTCAAAGACTGTGTTTGGGAGAAGTGAGCAGTACATTAAAGGAGCCTCCCAGCTCACATGCAATTCCTAAAAGGGTCAACAAAACATGCTTTTAAAACCAGGTAAGGATTCTTTAAAGGAGGATTTTTAGGTGAGAGGGTTTCCTGCCTTCAGCACAGGAATCAATAATTATAACAGACTCCAACTATTTGAAGAGTATCAAGTGGTAGCAGTTGTTGAGAGAGGGAATATATACAGCTTGGCATAATTCAAGTCATCAAGTGGGAAAGGCTGGGGGAGTACAAAATAAAGGAAGATAAATTCTGCCAGGAGCAAGCTCAGGTATACAGGGGCCTGGAAGTCTTTGGGGAAGAGAGATGTACAGACATTTGTTGTGTCCTTCCTAGCAACAATTCTCACATGCCTCCTTCTTAATCATATCTGAAATTTCCCATCCATTTGATTGGTATGGTGCTCATCCAACCCCTAACTTTAGGGGTGGATATTAATGGATTTAAACTAATCAGGGAACCCCATCTCTTTATCCATAGTGAAAGTTCAGGGACGGGTTTAACCGCTTCTGAGCCAATCAGTGTAATTCCTTCTCCTCGCCGTAGACATTAGGTTGAGGACATCAGGACATAGGACCTAAGACAGTTCAATTATTGTGAGACTCAGTCTTTTTGTGAAGGCAAGACAGAGACTCTCTTGACTATTTCTAGGCTAGGTGGTATGAAGCAGAAGGTCTGGAGAGAAACACTAGACAAAGCAGGTAGGGGGAGCATAAATTATACAGACATTGAGAACTGGATTAATTCAAAGAACGGAGTAGAGACACAGGTTCTGATAATATTGTTTATGTCCTGGATGAAGCTGTGTCTTAACTGAGATAAACTCGTAGATGTTTCTTACACAAGCTAATAGATTCTCTTTTTGCAAACATCCAATTTGAGTCAAGTTTTCTATTGCTTGCAATAAAAATTTTCAAAACTAAACTGAATGATATCAGACCTGGGTTTAGAAAGCATGAGACATTCCACAAGTTGAGTTGCCATTACATTTTATTCCAGGCGCATGCATGGGAAGAAGGAAGGATGTAAAGAAAGGTATGTGGACATGCTTCCAAATTAGAAAGGCTGTAACATGATAGGAGGTGGTATTATACATGGGTTATGATCTATCAGTAATCCCCAAACTTTTTCTGTCAAGGGCCAGACTGTAAATATTTTCAGCTTTGCGGGCCAGGTGATTTCTGTCACAACTACTCAGCTATGCCACTGTAACACAGAATCAGCCATAGACAATACGAAAACAAGTAAGTGTGGCCATGTTCCAATAAAACTGCACTGATGGACACTGAAATATGAATTTCATGTAATTTCTACAAACCATAAAATATTGCTCTCAATTTGACTTTTCCAATTATTTAGACGTGTAAAATCTATCGCTGACCTCTGAGATAGAGTGAACACAAAATTTCTAGATTCAACTTCTTACTCCAACATATACTAGCTACATAACATCGAACAAATTACTTAATCTCACGAAACCTCGTTGTCTCATAGGTAGAACAGGGAACACTATAATGCCTAACTCACAGTTTTGTTCCAAGAATTAAATAATTTAATCATGAAAACATTGAGCAAAGTATCTGATACACAGCACTCAATTAGGACTAGCCATCTTTCTTATGATTGATTATGAAGGTCATTTGACACTAGGCTATGTATATTAATAAAAGAAAACCATCTATGTTTTCTGAGCAGGAAATTTACTCAGATCTGTGCCTTGGAGAGTTTACAAAGGCATCTGTTGGAAGAACACATTAGAAAAGGGATATTGGTTTAAATTGACCTAATGTGCCCCCCATTTAGCTTAGGAAACTTAGATGTCTTTCTGTATCTTGCTTTTCATTTCAATGCAGCAATCAGTATTTAGGAAGAGAAGAAGGAGTGTTTTGTTTCTTTGATGGAGAAAAGGGACATGTGCCCAGTCCTGTGGTATGCATTTCTTTAGAAATGAATTTTTTTTGCAGAGACTCAGCTGAGCTGATAAAAATTTTAAAACTCGTGGTCACTTCTGGTTTGAACTGCATTTGTCGGTTTTGATAATTTATTCATTGACTAATTAGTTCAGCCAAATCTTATAGACTATGTCTTTTTCTCTGAGCCCAGATGGTACCCCATCACACAGATGATAGGGAATAAGACCCCATACTGTATTTGTCAGACACCCCACTGGGTAACTGATAAACAAAAAATAGTTCAGTAAAGATTTGCATTTAAGGTCTCTTAAGGTCTTCTGATTCTCTCCACTACTCCCTTCTTCAACACACACTAAAGATTCTAACCCCATTTAAGATCATTAGCAAATCCCAGGCTTCATAAATATCACAGGGGAGCTAATGAGATGACTTACAGAAGGATTGCCGCTTATTGTAGAAGAGAGCACCAAGCTGGTTTGATTTTTCTGGGCTATGCTATAGGGAAGCCAATTAGAGTTTGCTTTTGCCTGAATGATGCAAACAAAATCAGTATAATTTGGATGAATAAATCTGTTAAGCAAGAAATTTGAATCCATATTAATAACAATAAACATGGGCAACAGGAGATGTGGATTTTTCACAAATACCTGCTTCCGACTTGGCCAGCCACCCAAAAAGCAAAATGTATATGTTGAGTACCTACTGGGAGTAAGGCACTACACTAAGAACTTTATTTATTATTATTATTATTAGTAGTAGCAGTATTGAGACAGAATGTCACCCTGTCGCCCAGGCTGGAGTGCGGTGGCACCACCTCAGCTCACTGCAACCTCTGCCTCCAGATTTCAAGAAATGCTCCTGCCTCAGCCTTCCAAGTAGCTGGGACTACAGGCATGCACCACCACAACTGGCTATTTTTTTGTATTTTTAGTAGAAACAGGGTTTCACCATGTTGGTCACCCAGTCTTGAACTCCTGACCTCAGGTGATCTGCCTGCCTTGGCCTCCCAAAGTGCTGGGATTACAGGAGTGAGCCACCGTGCCAGGCTAGAACTTTAAACATATGATGAAATCTTTATAATCACCCTATGAAGCAAGTCCTTTTTTTTTCACTTTTATAGATGAAAAACTTGAGGCTTAGAGAGATCTTGTGTCTTACGCAAGTTCATAGAGCTTATAAGCTTGTAAACTCTGAACTCTCAATCTCTCTCTCTCCAGTATCTCTTCTGCTGAGTCACTAAATCAGAGTGACTACAGGAGCTCTCTCTGCTCAGGACAAACATGTACCTGCTGCAGTTAGAAGACAGAGAGTTGAATATGGGTCCCACCTTCATCTCTGCCATGCTTGTTCTTTAACTTACCTTGATTGCAATCGTTTTCAAAAGTACTTCTTTAGGATGTTTCTCTCCCTCTGGCAGATGGATACTCTAATACCCATTTTACAGACAAAGAAACTGAGCCTGGGAGAAGTCAAGTAACCTGCTCGAGATCAGAAATGAGTGGGTGAATGGGCCTTATTCTTATCCAGGTCTGGGTCCAAAAACCATGGTATTTCTAAGACTTTGAGGAAAGTTATTAAGGTTTCCTCTGTAATCTCATTCTTCACCAAAAAAGTTCCATCTTTTTTTAGGAAAACTGTATAGACATTAACATAACTGTTATGCAATTTCCAAGATCTTAATAATAAAAAAAAAACCAAAACATTACACACACACACACACACACACACACACACACACACACACACACAAGAGTATTTATGATAATACCAAGCTAACAATGTGAGCGTCAATTTCCTTATCTGCTAAGCGGGGCTAATAATAACTATATCACTAGACTGTTGCAAGAATTAAGTGAAAAAAATACAAATAAAGCATCAATGCCATAGTAGCTAAAGGGAAGACATTTGCCCATCTATCTTTCCTTGAATGTCCATCCATGCTTCCACATATCTCCCTCCCCATCTCTCTATCTGTGAATGACAGAAGTTTGCTGGCAGAATAGGAAGAGTCACAGACTGGAAACCTGGGTTCCTGGCCCAAATCTATTACCATTCCTATGCTGCTCTTGTGATCTTTCCTGCCAGGTTCTATGACCCTTGTCCATAAAAATAAGGGGCTTTGCTGGACTGCCCTTAAAATGTTCAATATTCTCAGAGTCCATACAACCTCATCATTGTTATAATGTGCCATCACCCTATGTGATGGCTACATTCGGTTTCCCAGAGCTACTGGCCAAAGGAGGAAAATCATATACAGTTCTGTCTCAGTGATCCAGCTGGTTTGGTCAGCCACACATTTTGGAGATATGCTATAACTAGTTTAGTGGCTGAGGAATTTCACAAGATTATTTTATTATAGTTACATAAACAGTAACTTTTGAACTACTGAAACTGTGTTGTTTTTGGCATGAAAACTTACTTTGATTAAGATGGGAGTATCAATCTCTGACTATTTAAATCTCTAGGAAGATTGAGAAGGAGATTGGGGACAGCACAACCCTATTTGCATTAATTTTTTTTTAATGATTCAAAATACCATTTGGAAAATGGTCTTCACATTTATCAACCATATAACCACTTGGCAAACATTTAATTAAACTCTCATCAAGAAAAATATAGTACAAACAGAAAAGACTTGGGAAATCAGCTAGATCTGGTTTCAAATTCAGTCTCTGCCCTAACTAGCTATATTACTTTGGGCCATTAATTTCATTTCTATGTACCTCAATATCCTCAACTATAATATGAGAAAAATGTTATCTAACTTGCAAGGTGGTTATGATAATTAAATGAAATAAAATATGCACAACACCTAACACATTGCCTATGACTCAAAGTGCCTAAAAATCAACATGCTTCTAAGAGGAATCATGAGTTCTCTTCCACAGACCCGCTGTTTGCAATCCAGCATTTCTTACCCCAGTGACCACCACCAGCCACCCAGTGGAATGTGAATATTTGTAAGAGTCACGCTTGACACCTTCCAACTGCATGTACCCTCAGTTTCCTATCCATGTTTCATCACAATGCTCTGCCCATTTTACCTCGTATATCTCTCCGATCCATCCACCTCCCTTCATGCTCCCACCCTGTCACATCTGAACTGTACTGTCCCACTTGAACTGGTTCCCTCACATCCACCCTTCCAGGTGACTCTCTACAAAGCAGCCACAGTGATATTTTAAAAAGCAAATCACAACAAGTCGCTCCTGCCTTTAAATCCTCAGGGTGAAAACTTCCTCACTGTGGTCTTCAAGGCTCTACCTGAGCTGGTCCCTGGC
This sequence comes from Homo sapiens, assembly GCF_000001405.40. NCBI lineage: Eukaryota > Metazoa > Chordata > Mammalia > Primates > Hominidae > Homo > Homo sapiens. The sequence continues at coordinate 155,945,761 of NC_000005.10, read as the reverse complement.
CGCTTCTCCAGCCCCATCTTATCTCGCCATCCACCTCCTCTTCTGGGCTTCAGGAACACTGGTCTTTCTCGTATTCCTTGAGGGTCCCTGGCACCACCCTCCGGACACACAATCTGCACTTATGCTTGGACACTCCACTTGCTGGCTCAGCAGAAGACTTAAATCATGAGAGAAGTCTTCCCTGAAGCCTCAGGCTAGTTCCGTCCTCTGCAAATGCTTTCACAGCTCCTCAGGCTTTTGCCTTCCAGAACCTACCATCATTTGTAGTTGCATGTTGGTGTGATGTTTTTACTTGGTCTTTGTCTTCCCCATTACACTGTAAATCCTATGAGTGGAAGGGATCATCTCTATTGTTCTTACCACTGTTTTCCCAGTAACTAACACAGAGCCAGGCACAGAGTTGATGTTCAATAAATATTTTTGAATGAATGACTAAAAGTTCTCTCTCCCTTCCCTATTGCCTCTTGTCCTTTGTCTTCTCCCTTCTCTCCTTCCATCCCTTCTACAAATATTTACTGAATGTCTACTCCAAGCCAGTTAGTTCATTTGGCAGTATTAACATGGTTTTACAAACTCTGCTTGAATGTATCCAATAACACAGACCTCATTGGTTCTCAAAATTTTCATTTGTAGACAGTTCTAACTGATATTAATTCTTCTTGAAAACAAGTGGAAATTTATCTGTAAACTTAACTTCTATCTATTTGTTGATGTGGTTTATTTTTGGTACCTAAAATCAGAAACAAATAAAACCACTGGTATCTAGAAAAACTCTCGGTATGTGTTTGTTCACTTGGGCCACCATCTATATGGTGAGATTTACACTCCCTTATTATTATTATTTTTTTTTGCATGGCTCTTACATCTTCAAAGGCATGTATTTGGGAAGACAAAAGATCATGTATTTAAAGATTAGCCTAACTTCAAAAAGATATGCTAAAGGTTAGTTTACAAAGACAAGGAGAAGAAAATATGACCCGAAGTTGGAAACAAATTCAGTGCAATCATAAACTTACCACATTTTTTGTCAGATTATCTGTCTTTGCCACTAGATAATGAGTTTCTTGAGGGTAAGGTTCATATCTTCACAGTGTATGTTCTTATCGCAGCACTTAACACAGTATGTCTTCAATACATATTTGTTGAACAAATAAAACTATTATGACTGTAACAACAGCGCTGATTCTAAGTTAAATAATTAAAATGTTGTGTTCTGTTCTCAACTCTATACTTTTGATGCCATGTGACCCAACGAGGTAATCTATAGCTTAAGGTAAAACAATGTCTATCATAGATTAAGCTTTTAAAAGCTAGAGAACAGTGCAATTTGAGTAGGAAAAAAACACGTGTGTATACAGATAAATGCACAGCACATGCCTAGTCATTGTCTGGAATGGCATCTGCAAACCTTTAACAATCATCGTTCATAAGAATGTGATTTGCCTAAGTAATACATATATACACATTTACTTTTATCCCCCCATACAAAACCCTATAATTTTTCCTTTGTTTGGGTTTTGGTTTGATCTTAATTTACAGTAAGTATATATTACTGTGTGACTAAAGGAAACAACTCACAGAGCTAGTGCACAATTAGAGGAAGGCAATCAGGCTGATAAATGGTCTGCATCCCATGAGAAATGAATAACCACAGAAAGAAATGGAGACATTCAGCCCAGAGACAGCCAAGGCAGAACAAACTATCTTCAAATACTTGCAGGGCTGTGGTCATGCAGAATGGTGCAGGCTGCCCTCTGCAGGACAGAAGGAGGACCACTGAACAGGTGGAAGGTTCAAAGATGCAAATTTCAGCTCTGAGGAAGTTTTTTCTCACCTTTGAGCTATTCGACAATAAAGGGGCTGCTTTACAGTAAAGTGGGTAACTTTGAAGGAGCCAGTTTTGCATTATTAAAAGTAGAGGTGTCTGCAATGGAGAGTCTGTAAATAGAGTTTGAGAGTCAGTAAATCCCTACATTTGAGTTCAAAATTGTGTTGGTGTGTACATGTTTTCAGAGGAGTGGCTCTATAATTTGCTTCCACTTCCTGTAGGGTTGAGCAACCCCCAAAGAGGAACTGGATGACTATTTGTTACTGACATTAAGGGGATTATTACACCTGTGAAACTTTAATCATCTCATCTATACCAACTATGAAAAATCAGAAAAATATAGTTCTGGAGTTTATTGGTTTCCCTTCTATGCAAATTATTTAATTTTTAAAATTAGTTATTACAGTCCATTGATAACAACCATCATGTCTTATATATGCCTATGTCTCTCCTAGATCAAGCACAGTTTCTTGTACGAAGTAGGTGCTTACTAAATTTTAAATAAATACATGAAGAAACAGACTCCCAGGGTAGATTCTTCCCTTTTCACTAATTAATGTAGTAATTAAATTTCACCAATAAAGCAGAATTCCACATATGAATATAGGATGGCATGATAATGATGATGACAACAGTGATTGTAACAAAAATGTTATTGGGGACTATGTGTCAAACACTTTTGTCAAGCATTTTATATGCAATAGCATGTGTAGTTCTCATAGTAATTTATTTAAGGAAAAGGTGGCTTAGATTAATTAAATATATTAATATAGCTAGTAAGTGATTCAAACCAAGACAGATATACTATGGCATCTGAGCTCCTAACCTCTATGGAAAATCTACTTAGGGAATAAGATTACCTGGACTTTGTCCTCAACTCTATCATAGCTGTACAAATAATTTAGGCAAGACACTTTTCTGTCCTTCACTTTTTAAATCTGTTATGTGGAAAACACACTAACAAAAGTCTAGGAGGCATTATGGAATGTTCATGAAGAACATAGACTATGATGACTCATTATGAACACATTGTACTCTACATGGTTGAACATAATTATAACACCTGTTTTAAAATCCTTGCTGCTAATTCTAACATTTGGATTATCTTGGGGTTGCCTTGGTTTATTGCCTTAAGTATCTTCACATTTTCCTATTTGTTCATATGTCTGTGTCTAGGAATTTTGATAGGTATCCTGCATATTGTACATCATAGTTTCTATCTGTGTTCTGTTCCTCTGAAATCTGTTTCTGTCATTGTTATTTGTTTATTTTAGCCAACACTTGACTTTATTGAAACTCCAAATTCTGCCTCCATTGCATTGGGCAGCCACTGAAATCTCTGTTCAATTATTTTAGCCTTCATACTTGCATAGTTTAGGGGTCAACCAGAGATTTGACAAGAGTTTATATGAAGAATTGGGGCTTCCACTACTGTGCTGTCCTTTCTAGAATTCTCTCTCTCCTACTTTTCAACTTCTCAAGTTGCCCCAAATTCTGTTTTCAAATTCCTCATGCCAGAAAGATTGAGGGTTTTAGCCCACGTGATTGATTAGGTAGGTAGGCAGACAATAGATAGATAGATAGATAGATAGATAGATACATACATACATACATACATACATACATACATACATACATGCGTACATACATAGATACATAGATGATAGATAAATGCTATAAAAACAAAACTTATCCACTGCCATACCCCTCTTTCAAGTATTGACTCTCCTCCAATTTGTTTGCTTTTGTCCAGTCTCCATTATCTTCACATAGTTCATGTCTGTTCATGTATATGTGTAATACTATATTACATATATAATATATTATGCAGAATTTGTCATTGCTATCTGTGGGAAGGCTGCTCCAATAGGAGTTACCCACCAGGAACATGGACTTTGACATCAGACAGACTTGAGTATCCTCCCCTAACTCTCCATTAGATCTGAGCATTTTTTGCCATTGTGCTAATAATGGGTGACCTTCTCTGCACTAGGAGGCCTTTTACTTCTGCTACATTTTATCCCAGTGTACAACAAATACATTTTCATTTTCTGAGTATGCTACAATATGAAATAGATTGTGAAACATTGTCTTAAAGAAAAGCTACTTCACCTCCTATAGTATAGCTTGACTTTTTTCATCAATTAATTATTATAAGGATTAAATGAGATAATATAGGTAATGATAAGTAATGTATGAGACTTTGAACATAGAGGCATTGAATGTATGAGACATTGAGCATAGAGGTATTGAACATAGAGGCATTCAGAAAAACCTTAGTACTATAGTAATGTAATTAAATTTTTAATTATCAATAATTATGAATGGCAATGTAATTATAGTTATTTAAATAATATTGATTATTAACAGCAATATAATTATTTAAATAATAATATCAATGGTTATTAATAGCAATATAATTATTTAATATCAATATTATTAATAGCAATATAATTATTTAAATAATATCAGTGATTGTTAATAGCAATATAATTATAACTGTGACAGAAGTTCCCACAAAATTACTATCCATAGTTTCCTGTCCCTTTACCTTGCAAGGAAAATGTGCCTACTTACTGGGTTCCTGTATGTGGCTCCTTGCTATAGTTTAAATGTATCTTCAAAAGTTCATGCATTGGAAACTTAATCTCCAATATAACAGTGTGGGAGATCAGGCATAATAAGATGTGGTTAGGTTATGAGGGCTGTGCCCTTATGAATTGATTAACGTCATTATCACGGGAGTATGTTAGTTATCTCGAGAGTGGGTTTGTTATAAAAGTCAGTTCGGCTCTCTCTTGTTCTCCTGCTTTCTGGTACTCTTTTGCCCTTCTGCCTTCTGACATGGGATGATGCCACCCAAAGGCCTTCATCAGCTGCAGTTTCTTAATCTTGGACTTCTCAGCCTCCAGAATTGCGAGCCAAAAAAAAAATGTCTCTTCTTCATACATTACCAGTCTCTGGTATTCAGCTATAACAACACAAAATAGACTAAGACACTCCTCATGAAATGATCAGGATAATAACAATTATAATAACACTAGTTAATGTTTTTTTTGTTGTTGTTGTTGTTGTTGTTTGTTTGTTTTGAGACGGATTCTTGCTTTGTCACCCAGGCTGGAGTGCAGTGGCACGATCTTGGCTCACTGCAACCTCTGCCTTCTGAGTTCAAGCAATTCTCCTGCCTCAGCCTCCCGAATAGTTAGGATTACAGGCATGTGCCACCACACCTGGCTAATTTTTTTGAATTTTTAGTAGAGACGGGGTTTCACCATATTGGCCAGGCTGGTCTCAAACTCCTGACTTGTGACCCACCCACCTCAGCCTCCCAAAGTGCTGGGATTATAGGCATGAGCCACCAAGCCCAGCCGTTAATGTTTTTAGTACTTACTATATTAGGTTTTATGTGTATTAATTTATTTAATCTTCAAATCAGCCCAAATGATGCAGACTTTATTATATCTTCTTTACCAAAGAGAATTCTGAGGCTCAGGTTGGTCAAATAACTTGCCCAGGCTCACACATCTAGAATATGTTGGAGCCAAAGTTTGAATCCAGGAAATCTGTTACTAAAGGTCTGCTATCCAAACAACCATAATTTAGAAGGTAAAGAAACAGAGCTGGAAAAGCATAAAGGTTACACTGGTTTACGCTAAAAGAAGCCATAGGATACTTGAGGGAGAAAAACCTGGATCTGTACATTAAGAGGAGTGAGAAAAGAAAGGAAAAGCCCTGATAATAATGAGCTTTGAAGAAAGATTTTTGGGGAATCTAGAGAACTTAAGATGAGACATTTTGGCTAGGTGTGATGGCTCACGCCTATAATCCCAACACATGAAAAGCTGAGGCAGGTGGATCACCTGAGGTCAGGTCAGGAGTTCAAGACCAGCCTGACCAACATGGTGAAACCTCATCTCTACAAAAATACAAAAATTAGCCGGGCATGATGATGGGTGCCTGTAATCCCAGCTACTTAGGAGGCTGAGGTGGGACAATCTCTTGAACCCAGGAGGAGGAGGTTGCATTGAGCTGAGATCTTACCATTGCACTCCAGCCTGGGTGACAGAGCGAGACTCCGTCAAAAAAAAAAAAAAAGAGACATTTGGATATGAGCAGACTTGGAGATAAATGTAATAAGAGTCTCTTCAGATAGATTAGTATACAGCATGCATTTTAGTCCTTTTTAGCCAAGTGTCAAGGCCCATGATAGAAATTTAAATTGTTTTTTAATTCTTTTTGATTTGCAGGGCATGAGATTTTTTTCATTATTATTATTTTTTTTTTTTTTTGAGAGAGAGTCTCTCTCTGTCACCCAGGCTGGAGTGCAGTGGCATAATCTCAACTCACTGCAACCTCTGCCTCCCAGGTTCAAGCAATTCTCCTGTCTCAGCCTTCCTGGGTAGCTGGGACTACAGGCACATGTCACCACACCTGGCTAATTTTTGTATTTTTTTTAGTAGAGATGAGGTTTCACCATATCGGTCAGGCTTGTCTCGAACTCCTGACCTTTGGTGATCCACCCACCTCAGCCTCCCAAAGTGCTGGGATTACAGGCGTGAGCCACTGTGCTTGGCCTAAATTAATTTTTAGTTGAGAAATAAAAATTATATATATTTAGTGTGTACAACATGATATTTTGAAATATGTACACATAGTGGAATGGCACCATGGAGCTGATTAACATAGTCATTACCTCACATACTTATCATTTGTTTGTTTTGAGAACACTTAAAACCTATTCTCTTAGCAATTTTCAAGAATACAATCCATTGTTATTTATTATAGTTGCCATGCTTATAGATGCATAAATCTCTTGAACATTTTCCTCCTAACTGGAATTCTTTATCTTTTGACCAACATGTCACCAAACCCTCCAGTCCCTGGTAACTGCCAATTGACTCTCTGCTATTGTCTCTTATATGCTACAGCATGTTGACAATGGTTGGCTATTAGTGCAGCTTCACATAGGTGATAATGGTAATGCTGATGACAAGGATGATAAAGGAAAGAAAATACAGGATTTGATGTTTAAATCCCAACTTTGACTCCTATTAATTAGTTGGTTTCATGGACAAATTACTTAAACTCTCAGTTTAACAGTTGTCTTATCTGTGAAATGGGGTTAATAATGTCTACTTCGCAGGTATACTGGTAGGATTAAATGACATGGTGCATAGACATGTAAAGGACTTAATACACTGTCTGGTGCCACAGGGGATGAAAAACTATTAGCTCAGTTTCCTTATCCTTTCTCTTCCTTCTCAAACTCTCAAGTCAGAACATTCACAGTGGGGAACAGCTACTAGCTTATGGGAAAAACCATTGCCATAGTATTAGCACTTTGATAAACAGCCCAATTAAGAACATTCCTATTAACTTCATCTATATTTCAATACACTGTACATGATACCCAGGCCAATGGAAAAGAAGAAAAGGACAGGGTGATTAATGAAACGCCAGTAACAGCCAGCCTGACACCTCATAAACAGCCACATGTTTGTTTACTCATCTATAATTTGTTTATTTTTCCTTTTTGAGTCCCAAACTCAGAAGGGGCTGTCAGATGAAAAATTCAATCTCAAGTGATTCCCTAAGCATTCTTATCCTGGGGCAGACCCCAGTTTGTTTCAGGCTGACAGCTGGCACCTGTGGCCTGCAGTGAAGTACTCTCTGACACTGATGGAAAGAGACAGGTGGCAGGGCTGCCATCAAATGCTGCGTTTGATTGATAAAGTGATCTAAGTATCACAGGCACCAAGAATGTCATTAGCAATCACTGCTTCCTCTGTAGAAAGCACCCCCTGGGCCAACAAGGCAACAAACAACAGCTTTTTGAGTGTCTGTATGTGCAGGTATGTGCATGTTTGCGTTCATGTCTGTATGTGACCAGAGACAGTTCCCATCACTGTGGTTCAAAGAAAGAGCACAGGACCTGGAGGTCAGCTTTCAAAGCCGGGTTCAAATCCTGACTAGGTCATTGGCAAGCTACAGGCCACAGGTAAATCATCAAACTTGTGAACCTCAGCTTTCACTCTTCTCATCTGTTTTGTATATTCTCAGCAGTGAAATGCTACTTCCTCAGGGAATCCTCCCCTGAACACCCCAATGAGGCAGGATTGGATCTATTTACAATGCAGTCCAATAACACATTGCACAGTGTCCACGTCACATTTGCAGTCAGACATAGGTTTGTTGCTTCTCAACTTAATGCCCATCTTCCCCCACTTAATTATAAGCTCTTTGGGGTCAGAAACTGCATTTTTCTTGTCTACTGTCTTGACCACAGTGCTCTGAATATCCAAATTCCCCAAGTTTGTTCATCCCAGCACAACAGCTATCCCAAATATTATCTCAAGTACTCTGGACTCCCCGAAGATCTTTCTGCAAAACACTCATTCCTTTCTGGCCTTTTCTCTTCCTTTCTCCCTCCACTTCTTTTATGGATGCAGGCATTTCTTCTGCCCTTTTTAGTGTAAATAAGTTTAACATTCTGGCTTCTTCAGTTCTGTTCCTTTATTTCCCAAATTATAGTTTTTGAGAAAGTAGGCTTTAGGAGGAGGTTACCTGGAATCAAACCTTGGCTCCAGCACCGCTTCAATATGTGACCTTGATGGAAGCAGCGGCCTGCCTGGAGCAGCTGCTGCCAAGATGCTGGCTGCAGTGGGGGAGGCATGGCTTGGCTGCATGCTCTATGGAGCCAGTGGGAGCCGGGAACAGGCAGGTTCCCCACCCTCCCAAGCACAGCTGCAGCCACCCAAGTCATGCCTGCAGACCCGGGCCTCTCTGTGCTCTTTGGGGCTGGGAGCAGGCACCCAAGTCATGGCTGCAGACCTGGGTATCTCTGCAGACTTGCGGTCCTGGGAAGGCTTTCCCTGGCCCCGCAGGCTTGGACGTGTCTGCTACCCCTGTCTGGTCTCTCCCCCCACTCCCTGGCACTCGCTCTAATCTCAGAGTGAGGGCGGGGCTCCTGGGTGCTGTTGCAGCCTGGCCAGGTGTGCGCACACCCGGGGCCGTGCTGACATGGCAGCCTCCTGCCGCCTCAGCCCCCTCCGGAATTTAGCCACCAAGGAGCATGGGAGGGAGACTGAGTGAGTGGGGGCAGCTCAGAGCTGGCCTGCAGGTGCCCCTGGGCATGAACAGCCTGGGCTGTACGGAACAGTGGTAAGAGGCAGACAGGCTCCTGGGTAAAAGGGGGCGCGTCCCTAGTGAAGCCCCACCTTCAAGCTGGACAGGGCCTAAAACCTGGGGGCCGGACTGCCAGTTCCGTGGACCAGAGTGGGAACTTGTGGTGCTTTTTCTGGGCCTGCCCATGGCCGCCCATGGACCAATCACCATGTACCTCCTTTCCTCTGAAGCCTATAAAAATGAAAATTCCAGACCTAGCCAGACTTGAGCACTCAACCTGAAGACCAGCAGAGAGGAACCACACACTCCAGGGTCTCCTCTCTGCTGAGAGCTAAAAGGATGATGGGACGACCAGCTATGGAGAGGAGCTACCCACCCCAGCGTCTGCTCTCTGCTGCGAGCTGAACACTCACTGGGACATTCTGGCTGCAAAGAGGAGCTATCCATCCCAGGGTCGCCCCTGAGCTGTTCTATCACTCAATAAATCTCCTCTCCGCCTTGCTCACCCTCCACTTGTCCACATACCTCATTCTTCCTGGGTGCAGAACAAGAACTCGGGACCCGTCGAATGGCAGGGCTAAAAGGGCTGTAACACATACAGGGCTGAAACGCACCCCTTTCTCGCCACATTGCAGATGCCGAGAAGAGAGAAGGAAAGAAGAGCTGCAGTCCTTCGGGGAGCCCAGACCTAGGAGCTCCCTGAGCCAGGACTGTAATACCCTCTTTGGGCCTCTGTGATTCCTGGCATCTCCAAGCTTCCAGGCGCCACAGCATTCCCTGGTGTCAGCCATGGAAGCTGCTTGTAGTACACCTGTTCCAGCTGCAGCCTCACAGGGAGCCAGCACCTGTGCTGGTGCCTGGAGCTATCTGCCCTGCTGCAGCTGGTGTGCCTGACTGTGTGCAGTGGCTGGACCCCTCACTTGCTCGCTCACACACCCCTGACAACTCCGCTCACCCTTGGCAGGCGATGGATCCATGCTGGTAGCGTGAGCCAAGTGCAGCCTGCCAGGCTGAGTGGTCCCAGTGGGCCCGAGCAAAACTCATGCAAAAGCACCACTGGCCACAGAGGTTTCCAGCTGGAAAAGCAACACCCCAAGGCTCCTGTAACAACCTTAGGCAAGTGATTAGACACATGAGCGTTCCCTCTTGTCCTCATGCTAAGCTAGTTTGCACTAGCTATTCCCTTGCCTGCATGCTCCTCACCTTACTCCTTAATTAACTGGCTGTTTCTTAAGGTTCAAATCAGATATGACTACTTAGATAGCTTTCCCTGAGTCTGTCCCCTTCACTTTCTATCTCATTATTCTTTTACATTACTTCAATCTCATTTATTGCTGGCTGATATTATCTCATTTATATAATTTTGTAGCATCAATCTCCCCCCACAACAATGAAGTTCCATGAGGGCAGTGACCTCTCCTATCTTGTCAACCACAATAGCCCAGCCAGGGGAAAGAAACCAAAAAGAAGATGGACCTTCAACAAATACGTTTTGAATAAATGAATTCAGTAACACACTAATTAATGAATAAATGAATAAACAAAAGTCACTAGGATATGGTAAAGATTAAATAAGATATACAAAAATAACTTATTTCAGCCAAGAGTCTTAATTGCAAGCAACAGAAACCAATTCTTGCTGATCTAAGCAGAAAAATAATTTGTTCAAAGGGTATCAGTTGACTCACAAAGGAACCAGGAGGATTCAAAAATCACTAGGGACTTAGGGTCAAGTATACTGCCCCAAAACTAGTCACAAAATGATGTGCTGAGGACATCACTGCTGCCACCATCCCCAAGCATTGGACACAACAGCTTGCATCAACAGTTGTCTATCTGTGAACACTGGGTGCTGACGATAGCTCTGGGAATCCATCTTACTGCAGGAACTTACTTACTCCAGGCACTGGCCACAGCAGTTCCTCCATGTCCCAACTTCGTCATGTCATTAGTCCACAGTTCACATCTGGGGTATGTACAACCAATGGGCAGACTGTAGGTCAGATGGCCCCCCATTCTAAAAATTTGGGGAAAGGAAGTAGCCAACATTTTCAGCTTCTGTAATGGAAGAAAGGCTATGACATCCTAAATCATAGAGTGAGGAGTTTTCCAAACCAGGGAACAAGGTTCAGATGCTGAGCAGTTAAAAAGAATGACAAATTTCCACTACAATGGTTAATAAATATTAACCACAAAACAATACAATTACCAAGAGCTGCTTCCTTGCAAAATAACTCACAAACTACTGAAATAAAAGAAGACACAAAGAAAAACTACTGCTTAATTCTTTAAAGCTGTACCAAGTTGGAAACACTCATTTTACAACTTTTTCATAAGTTATTCTGTTTGTCAGGTAGTGGGATATTAAATGTGCTTGAGTATTGATTTGAGGGAACTCTTGTCCTGCATAGTTCAGTGCTACGCAAAAAAAGATCGTTAAAAAGGCTTCTTGCCAACGCAGCTCTGGGATGTGAGCAAGATGCCAACTAAGTCAGGCCATTTTCACGGCTTGCTGCTCATCAAGGAAAATAAATCCTCAACTTCTTTTCAAAAATGCAGATGTCAAATACTCTTTACTGGGATACCTGCTCACTTCGTGTGGCTCTGCACCTGGCAACATTCTCTACCATGAGTTGGTGATTTGGCTTAACCCATCCACTCCCATCTGATACTGTCTTGATAGGATTGTCAATCAAGGTGTGCATCCAATTCTGCCAAAGCTTGATTAATCAGTCATTCTTTCTGAAATTTGAATTTTGATGAGTACCATGTAAAGACAGAAAACAATAGGAGATGATGCTCCCACATGGCAGTGTCCTAATGTTCCAGGCACCTAGATCATGGTTTCATTTCCATTCTTGTTAAGCTTGGTTCTTAGCTTTTCCTTAATTCTGTGGGTGTTTCACACAGGTTCTGTTGCTTGAAATCAACAAGCCTTAACTGACGGTCTTCTCTGAAGATAACCTAGGGATGACTGATAAAATAATATTAATGATTAAGATTTAATTAAACACATTATAGCAAAGGCCTTGGGCAAATGCTTTATTGGCATGATGCCATTTTAATCCTCACAAATCTTCAAGGTAGGTACATATTTTATATCCATTTTGCAGCTAAAAATGTTGCAGCTTAGAATGGTTAAATTGCTTTCCAAGGATGTACACATAGAAGCACCAAAGCTGTCAGTTCCATCTTAAGCCAAAACCTATGCACTTGGCCACTATGCATTCAACAGTAAGAATGAGATTCATTCACTCATTTATTCACCTAACAATTAATGACTAAATATTTATATTTTGCCAGGCTCTGTTCTAAAAGCTGTAGAAATGGTGAAGAAAGACAAGATACTCTATGTATGCTTGTGGAGTTATCTCCACATTTGTCTCCAATGGTAGAGACAAACCATAAATAATCAAAATAAACAAGTAATTGAGCATTGCAGTTTCTGATAAGTACAAAGCAAGAAACTGAAGAAGGATAAGGGAGTAGAATGGGATATATATGATATTAATATCTGATAAAATAGGAGCTATGCAAACACGTGGGACAGGGCATTTGTGACAGGCAAGAATGTAAGGATTATCATCCCTGGGGCAGAACTGAGCTAGACGTTTTTGAAAACCAAGAAGACCCCTACGGCTAGAGAAAAGAGAGGATAAGAGGGATAAAAAACTAAAGTCAGACTGATAGGCCAAGGCCAGATGACATAGGAACTTTGAGGTTTGGATTCTAGTTGCAGCCCTGTCTCTAACAGTGGACAAAGCAACATACTAACCCTCTTGGTTTTGTTTCCTTATTTATAAAATGAAAATGCAGAAGAGGTAGGAGCAAGGGACCTGAAAGGTCTTTCCCAGCCCTGACATTCTATAATGAGATAAAGAATATGATGGATGACAAGGAAAAGGCAAAAATGGAATACTAAATCCAGCTTTTCACGGTGGTCACCTTAAATGACTCCATCTTTTTGCATATGAGTCAATGTTCTGGTTTATAAATAAAAGTACCTTTTCCAGCTGTTGTAGACCCATCTGATAACTATGTTTGGTTCATGATTCATTAAATACAAAGAGATAAACCAAATGCTCCTAACATTTAAATCAGGGGAATTAAAACATTTTACACATCAGCAAAATGTCTCATCACACGGGTGAAACATTTTGGTCCAATGAAGGGTCCAGTTTCAGTGATTAATCAGACACCTGTATGGACTGAATTGTGTTACAACAATAGCTCCAAAAACCAGTTATGTTGAGGGTGAGTAGGTCAAAGTATCTATGAACTAAAACACATCAAAGTAATACATGAAATTTTGTCACATGCAGAATACGAAGCTAACTTAAATATATTTCTCATGATTACCTCTATTGATATGAAATTTGCCTAGGAGAATACCTTTGGATGACAACTGTTTGATAAGTAGAGGCCCAGATAATGTCCAGAGTCAAGCTTGCTACCCAGTGTATCCAAGCTCAAGAAAATCTATCTATTCCCTCAAGAAACAATTCAGGAAGAAAGTCTACAGTTGGGAAATAATTACTCAATTAAATATATAAATGAAAAGTGTACAAAGTGCTACAGTAAAAGAGTATCGTGCTGTGGGAGTACATGACAGGCTATGAAACTATTCAACTGTTGGTTCAACTTGGAGAGGAAGTGACTTGTGCTATGATCTGAATGTTTGTCTCTCCCCAAAATTCATATGTTGAAATCTTAACCCCCAAGGTGGGTTATTAGGAAGTGGGGTCTTTGGGAAGTGATTGAATCATGAGGGTGGAGACTTCATTAACTGGATTAGTGCCCTTACAATAGAGGCCAGGGAGAGAATCTTCACACCTTCTACCATGTGAGCACACAGGGAGAAGGCACCATTTATAAACCAGAAAGTGGAACCTGATCAGACACTGAATATGCCAGTGCCTTGGACCTCTCATCCTCTAGAATTGTAAGGAATAAGTTACTGTAGTTTACAAGCTACCACTTCATGGTACTTTGTTACAGCAGCCCAAATGGACTAAGGAGATTTGCATAAGAACAGACAGATAGTAAGTGGCTGAAAGCAAATCCGAACTCGGGCTTTCTAATTTTCAAATGAAATGCTAAGGGTAGCTAACATACTTCCAGACTTAATTTAACCTGGAATTTATTCAGTTCCAAAATGCTAAGAATACTTGCTTACGTTAATTAAGAAAATGTATTAGTGGGATACCAGAAACACATGTTCAACACAACTATTGCTTAATTTATTTAATAGCCCCCAAGCACTTAAAAAACAAAAAACCCCACAATTTTGAATCCTTATAGAGAAACAATTGTATAAATGACATTAAATGAAGATAACTGCAAAGGATTTGCAATATTTTGGGTGTATGTGTAACTGAATCTACTTAGGTTGAAATACATTCATAGACAAGTGCTTCTGATGTTAAAATAAAAAATGGAAAAATAATCCATTAAGATGTTGAAGCAATTTTGAATAAAATACTTACTTCAATGGTTGCTACTTCTTTCAATTTTCTTATAACCCCCAATGGAACTCAGAATATAAAGGCATATAATAGTAAGTTTTATTCACTGAAGATAACCCAACAAGCTTACTCTTAAGAAGCTTTAAGAAAGCTAAAAATAATGAGAAGAGCTTTTCTTTTCTTTAGTGTTTGGTAAATTTACCTTCTCTGTGACTTGGTTCAAATACCATATGATCATTCAGTTTAGGAACATATCCCATCAACATATTAAAAAACCCATGCAACCATTTATAAATGTTAAGCTATCCTAACCATTATGGAAGATCAGAGTGCTTTGGCAACAATTCATGAGAAGACAGAAGGAAAAAAAAGAGTAACTTCAAAACAAGATTATATGAGGCTTAACATAAAACCTGATACAAATGTCAGGGATTATGATTACTGTGATCATTCCCATTCAAATGTGACCTTTCATCATAAAGTCATTTCAAGTAAGGAGAGTAAGAATACTTTAATCTTAAGTTTTTAGTGGTTCTTAACAGTTACAAGTATGAACAATGTTTGATAATTGCAAAATATTTTAATTGGAAAGAACCATTCAGAGCATCTATTCCAGTTTCCCAAGTAATGACATTTGAGAAGAGTGTTAATTTCAGACTATCATACATAATAAATGTGGAACAGAACTTATTAATTATGAAAAATCCATGAGCTAAAAGAGGACCCTACTCCCAGACCTGCACAAGTCCCTGAACCCCTGGGTCTACTCCATTCTTTGAGGATAAGTCTCACTGACTCAAAGAAGGAAGGGCTCTAAAGACCATTCACATTAGCCATAATATTCCAACAATATCAGAGAACCTATTGTGTGTTTTTCTTTCTAATTCACTCTCTTCCTCTCTTGCTGTCCTCCAGACACAGGAGAAGCATCTTGCTTGCACAATACAGTATGCTCAATGGATTAGATAAACTTCTTTTGCTTCAGTTGTTGAAGTTGTTTAATGCATTCATCTCAGACCCATTTCATTTACTGCACATCATATAAGCACACCCCACTGACTAAGAATAATTTGTCATCATTTTTCTTGGGCAAAGGACTCTTTAAGTTGTACAGAGGTGTTTCTAGATATCAAACAGTTAATACACTGTTAGAGAAATACAATGATGAATAGAGAAATGAAAGAATTTCTTATACTCAAGAAGTGTTTTAACTTTGGCAAGAGGGGTGGAGAGTTGAAAAGGGCATAGGGAAGACATATGTATCACATACCCTCAAAACAAGTGAGACCTCATTGGTGGTATAAGCAAAATCCTACTCAGCACAGAAAAGCAGGGAGTTCAATCTGTAGGACCCTGTAAATTATGCATTGAGGAGACATTTGAGCTTTAAAGGACACACAGATTTTTTTCTGAAGGAGAAGGGAGAGAATGAATTTCTGAAGAGGGATCAAAACAAGATAAGTAGAAAGTGCAAAGTGAATATGGAAAGTTGTGTAGAAATGGTACATAATTTGAAATCATAGTAGGCACACAAAAAACTACTTGTGTGAATGATTATTTTGCTAAAGGCTGTGGAGCAGTGAGTAGGGGTAAATGGAACTAGGAAAAGAGGTTGAGATTAACTTTTTAAAAAGATCTTTGAAGTCTGTGCCATAATAGAAAGTCAGGACTACATCCTGGAAGCAATGAGACTCATCAGAAGTTTTACAGAGCGGAAGAATCCAGATTTATGTTTTAGAAAGGTAACTTAGGGGAAAATGTGGGGAGAGATGGAATAGAAGAGATTAGTGAGAGAGGCTACTCTATGAGCTGAGCTATCTTAAGAGTGGAAGGTAAATGTGATGTGTAAATAAAATAGAGCAATAGCAGAGGAGGAAAAAATGGGAATTTGGAAGGGAACTATGAGGTTCGATTGCCAAGTCTGTGAGAAATAATATGGGAGATATAGAAAGAAAGAATCTTTTAAATTCTCTTTTCTGAATAATTGAGTTTGCACAAAAGCATTTACTGAGATAAGGAATTCCTGCAGTTATCCCCTCATTCAAACCGCTGAGCAAGTATGTACAATGCTAGGTACTGGAGATGATCCAATGAAGAGAAAAATCAGACATCATTCCAGACTCACAGAACATGTCAGACTTTAGATCAGTATTTCAAGTATGAGAGTAAAATTATTCTCCACAATTAAAAACAGAAAAAAAGTCACTAAAACCTGTAACAAATTAGAATTGGATTAGAATTAGAAGGTCATTACTCTAGGGATTTGAATTAGAAAAGGAAAAGATTTTACCGTTCACTTTATACCCTTCTGTATTGTTTGAAAGTATTATAATGAGAAAATATTACTTTTAACATTTAAAAAGTAAATAAAGATTAAAAAGTAATTAAAAATACATGTAAAGTTCAAGAGACACCCCCTAACGTAGTCTCAAAAGGATTTCAGAATATAAAGGGAATTCATACATATTTAAAGATATCCTTGGAGATGCTTGCTTTGGTTGTTGCATAAAATATGCTTAATTTATTTGTCCTTAATGTTACTGGAAAATTTGAGAGAGAATCCAATTTTTAAGTTGTTTCCTTTGCTTGCTATTGAATGTGAGATCCTAAAGGCATTCATATTTTCTTTCATATGTGCTGTATTTTTTTTACCTCTTTTTTTTTTTTTTTTTTTTTTGAGACAGAGTCTCACTCTGTCAGCAGGCTGGAGTGCAGTGGTGCGATCTCGGCTCACTGAAATCTCCGCCTCCCGGGTTCAAGCCATTCTCCTGCCTCAACCTCCTCAGTAGCTGGGATTACAGGTGTGCACCACCGAACCCAGCTAATTTTTATATTTTTAGTAGAGACTGGATTTCACCATGTTAGCCAGGCTGGTCTTGAACTCCTGACTTCAGGAGATCCACCCACCCTGGCCTCCCAAAGTGTTGGGATTATAGGCATGAGGCACCATGCTCGGCCTGTTTTACTTTTCTTTAAAAGAGTAAAGACAAGCCACATTTATTTTGCTATAAATGAAGATTCATTTGATTGATACATAATACCATCCAAACATGATATCCTCCTCTGAAGAAGCAACTCAATTTTCTGCATGTGTAATTCATTTAAAAATCCGTGACTATAAAGGACCTTTCCTTAAAATTTCTATATTAAAGAGGGCCACCTAGGAAGTGGGGCATCAAAAAATAGCTACCTCCCTTCCATTTTCCTAAGTTCATCAAGGGCAAGGATCATGAAATATTATTTGGAACAGTACAAATTATTCACAATTATCTTCTAATGCCTATTTTACAAATATGAGATTTCATTCTATAATGCTGCAGACCTGACACGTTTTCCCATGAGCACGCCTTTTGTTATCTTTCAGTTAGCATGCAATTTTTTCTAGTTACAAAAGTAATTCAAGTTCAAAGTAGAAAAATTAGAAACTATTCAAAAAAGTGTTAAGAAAACTAAAAGTACTGAGAAAGAAAGAAGGAGCAGCCTCTGACATTCAGAAGTTGGTATGCCACTCACAACTGACCATGTTATTCTCTTGTTGGACATAAACCATCTTACAAAACAACAACTTCAAAGATTACTCTGAGACAATGACAAAATGAGACAAAGCAAGGCCACTTCATGGTTTTATTTAAGCACAGTGACAAGGTCATTGTGCTTCCCACAAAATATTAAACACTCCCTCTCTCAGGCAAAATGCATAACTGCTACTGCTTTACCAATTACTACTTTATATTCACCCTAGTGTGCCCTCCCTATAAATAAGATTTATTAAGATGCCTAATCATAGAACTGCCCCCATTTTTCGATAGCATGCAATCTAGAGTGAATCCCTGCTTCCTTACACCCTTCCACAGTCACCCAAGCAAAGCCCAAACCCTAAAACAGGTCCCTTTTAACACTCTCTTGCTGAGACACCAGATGGTTCTCCATGGTGTGTGTTCTCCTTGGCTCCAACTTGTTCAACTACAGATATTTTCCAGTTATCTTTGATTGGAAGGCACTGACAGTACCTATGATATAATCACTATCACATTCCAATGCATTTCAGCTTTCTGCACTGTAACACAGGTAATAGCTCACAATAACTAAAACTTATTGAATAATTAACTATTCTCCAGTCATTATTCTAAGCGCTTTACTTATATTGACTAATTCAATCATCTCTATGACCGTTAGAAATGGATACTATAACATTTCTATTTTAGAGATGACAGACAGAAATATAAAGACAAAGCACTTATATGTTTGAAATCAAGTACTCTCACCCATGGCAATATTTTCATTGTGGACTGGATAACTCTTTGTTGTAGTGAGCTGCCCTGTGATTGTAGGACATCTAGCAGCATCCTTGATCTTTGTCCACTAGATGCCAGAAGCACATTTTCCTGACTGTAGAAACCAAAAGTGTCTCTGGACATTGCCAAGGTACTACCCTGAGGGAAAAATCATCCCTAGTTAAGAACTGCTGCTTTTTTTGATTGGGATCATACTGCGTATGATTTTATTTCTAGCGTTTTAATTTGAAATTTTATTGTAAATTTCTTCCCACCATTACTATATTTTTTAAAAAACAAAATTTTGGTAGGCATCAATTTTAATGGGTACAGATGTGTATATACCTCAATTTATTTTAACACTCCCCACCATGGAATATTTCCTGTTTGCAATTTTTTTGCTGTTGAAAACAATTTCACGAGAAACATCTTTACACATAAATTATTTTCTACTTATCTAATTTCTTTCCTTGGATTTGATTAGCAAAAGGAATTATTGGACTATAGGATATCTTTAATTTAAATTGTTTAGAAAAAGATATATCCTTTTACTTTATATATCTATTTGTTCCACCAATATAATTAAAGAAGATGTATGTCTCTCTTCTAATTCTTTGAACAAGCTTATTAAGTTTCATTACCATTGTTTTGCTAAAGCATTTGTTAGCTCAATCTTTGCTGTATTTCAAGAGCACCATATTTGGAACCAAAAGTCCTGCATTCACACTTGAACAGCCACAGGCGGCACAAACATAGGGTAAATGGAATGCAGTGGTTGGAAGATGAGGCCTAAGAGATTGAAAACAGCAAACTTGCGGAGAATCTTTCATGCCAGAAATAGTGGGTTGAACAGTATCTCAAAAATTCTCATCCATACAGTACCTCAGGATTTGACCTTATTTGGAAATATAGTCTTTGTGGATGTAATTAGTCAAGATGAGGTCAGACTGAATTAGTGTAAGCCACAGCCCAATGACTGATATCCTCACAAGCAGATGAAAGTTGGGGGCCAAGCACAGTGGCTCGCTTTTATAATGTCAGTACTTTGGGAGGCTGAAGCAGGAGGATCACTTGAGACCAGGAATTTGAGACCAGCATGGTCAACAGAGGGAGACCCTGTCTCTACAAAACAAAACAAAAAAAAAAAAGTTGCCAGGTGTGGTGGTGGTTCACTTTTGTACTCCCAGCACTTTGGGAGGCTGAGCTGTGTGGGTCACTTGAGGCCAGGAGTTCGAGACCAGCCTGGGCCACATGGCAAAACCTCATCTCTACAAAAAAATACAAAAATTAGCTGGGTAAGGTGGTGCACACCTATAATCCCAGCTATTCAGGAGGCTGAGGTGGGAGGATCCCTTGAGCCAAGGAGTTTGAGGCTGCAGTAAGCTGTGATTATACCACTGCACTACAGCCTGGGCAGCAGAGCAAGATCCTGCCTCAACAAATAAAAAATAAATAAAGGAAGACAGAAGTTGTGACACAAACAAAATGCCATATGAAGACACAGAAACACAGCAGGAAGGCAGCCATGTAAAAACAGAGGCAGAGTCTGATTGGAGTGACGCTACCACAAGCCAAGGAGTGCCAAGGATTGATGACGACCACAGAAGCCAGGAAGAGGCAAGAAACAATCCTTTGCTTGAGCCTGCAGAGAGAATGTGGCCTTGGCTGGCACTTTCATTTCACATGTCTGGCCTCCAGAACTGTGAGAGAGTACATTTCTGTTGTTTTAAGCCACCTGATTTGTGGTACTTTGCTATGGCAGCTTGAGGAAACTAATATACTAGAAAAATTTACTCCCCGAACCAAAAGAAATGAAAGGAAATTCAGCAGCAAGTTCTTAGCCCAAGAAAAGGAGCTCAGTAATCTGAAAGTAGTTTGTACTTTACTTTCCAAGAAAGAAGATTAATATATCTAGGTATTTATTATCCATAGTATTGTTTTTACTATCACTATCATTTTATAAGGGAAATGATATTTCACTGCCAATGCAGGTGAGAATATTAACACATTTAGGTTTCACTTTTACAAATTCTTAATTTCCTCATTTTGCTAAGGACAAGTAAAAAATTCGGTCATGGATTAGCACAATTCTACCCCCGGATTCATTAAATCCTTGCCAATTCCAGTTTATCTGCAAGGATAATGGTCCTCAAATCTTTTCAGAGAGTGACTGCAATATGCATAGGACGGTATACATGACACAAACAGCATTTTACAAACCTCCCAGAAATAAAACATTCTCTTATTTGCATTTCCTTAATATTTTCACCTGTACAACTGATTTATGTTTACTAATGAACAAATAATGAAAATTTAGCCCTAAAATAAAATCTGGAGACCCCAATTCAGTCTCCTCCTTTTACCTAAGGACATACTGAGATCCCAAAAGCAGAAGGGCATATTCTCCGATTCTCAATTAGCACAGAGCATAGCTACTATTGTTTGAAACCAAATCCATTTAACTCCAAACTTAACAATTCATTCCACTCTTCTGCTTTGCCTTTGTTAATTTGCTGCCTGCTTCCCAATTTCATGTTTTATCTACCCAACTATACGCCATGCTCTTTAAGATCGAAGACCATCTCTGGGCTTTCCTTCCATGGGGCTCTCTCTGGCTAAGCATTCAGTGCCTGATTAAAATAGATGTGGAAGAGAAGAAACAGGTGCCAAGAGGCTGATGATCCATTGTGATGAAAGTTCTCCTGCTATAGCAAGACATCCCTTCCTCTGTGCTGACAATAAACTATTTGATGAATTCAGGTGCCTTTGTCCCCCATTCAGGTCCTCCTCCTCCTTGTTCTGTCTTCTTTTGTGCATTAGTGATGAGTATTTCCTCCTAGGTTTGCTATGACTAGATATGTTTGGGTTGGGTAAAAATTGTAAAGTTGTTCTGGATTTCTTTCAACTATGTTTTCTTTCTATATCAAAAGGAAGACAATAACAAGAAGGACAAGGAAAAGAGGTAAGACTGCCATGGAATAAAAGTTGAAGTATTTATTTTTTGGGTCACCAGAGAGCACTGTATTCATCATCTACACTGCCTTGCTCTTTCCCTGCAATGTGAGACACTGAAAAACACCCCAGGCAAGAGCTCTATGGACCTATTTTACATCTAAATGAGGACCCTTTCACACCCACAGTGTGGGAACTCTAAATTGACCCTCTTTACCTAACAGGGTGTTTATGAAGATCAAATATCACAAATGTGTTTTATAAGCTATATATGGTGATACGTGAAAAAAATAATTGTTTGTTCACTAGTTAAAACAGGTAAATAACTCCCTACTAGGCGAAAAACACAAAATGTTCATTAAAAGGCACTAAACAAATACTAAGTGTTCTTGGTAAAGAAATATTGCTGGCATTAGCAAAATCCGTTTGTCCAATTCCCTTGATTCCTTTTCTTGCTTCTCTGTAACTCTAATTGAAAATGCAATGACATTCCTCAGTTGGTAGTTGCTGTCACATTAACATATTGATTAGGTGATGGTTTTTCCAAGGGCCTTGTGTGGAAATTGGAAATATCCATTCACAAGGAGCCTGTTATATAAAGAGTATGAAACAAATAACTATGAACGTTCATCTTTGCCATTTTCCAGCTCCCTTTGCTGAGGTAAGAAATCAGTCTTTGTGGTTC
This sequence comes from Homo sapiens, assembly GCF_000001405.40. Classification (NCBI taxonomy): domain Eukaryota; kingdom Metazoa; phylum Chordata; class Mammalia; order Primates; family Hominidae; genus Homo; species Homo sapiens. Next base: position 155,923,432 of record NC_000005.10, on the reverse strand, counting down.
AGATTGACAACTTTTTATCTTAATCATTAGTATTAGACAAAAGATCAGGGCTGCATTAATTTACTCTCAAAGCACAGAAAGGTAATCCAGAGATTTGTCTCTAAACCTTTTCGATAATGTGTACCATTAACAAAATACATTTCAGCATATACCCCCAATATATGTCTTTTTGGTAAATTATACATGTATTAGTTTATTCATGTATTATTCATGTATTATGTAACATACAGAAAGTTAAAGGCTAGAAGTTCAAAACCTGTAAATGTAAATCTCTTCATATTTTCCTGTAGCACCTGCTTAGTCTTGCTCACCTTTGCGTAGTATGAAACCCCCATATTTGAAGCCACAGTTCTATCATATCAAGGATATATGCTGTTAACAGTGGTAAGAATCATCTGCTCGTACTGTGTTCTGTCTCAAATAATGACTATGTTTCATGCTGTATGGTTATGCTAATAGGACTCATCAAGAAATCGATCCCTTCCCCACTGTACACATTTGTTCATTACCCATTGGAGCACTGGGGCATTCAAATTTTTCAGTGGGCATTGATTGGGCTGGAGCTTCTGGTGATTTATTGGTCTTCTCAGATGAAACAGCCAACCTCAAATGCCCTCTTTCTCTACAACTTTTCTTTGGGGGCTAAAAATACAGCTTGGTTTAATGTACTTCCAAGCTTTTGCACCAAAATACATGCACTAGTGGGGGAGAGGAAATAAGCATCCCCAGAGCTGAGTATAACCTAAGAGGCTGTGCTGAAAAATATACCCACACACACAGAAACTCTCTCTCAAGCCACTCAGAAATATTGACCAAATATAACTTCATAAACTGCAAAATTCCTTTGAACTTTCACTTTTACTTGAATTTGTATTCTGTTCTTAAGCCATTTTTTATCTTAATTTTAAAAAGTTTTAAAATCATAGACGCCAAATAAATGAAGATCTTCAGTGAGATAGTTCATGTTTATCCTGTTGCTGTGCATATGCTCATTCTACCCAGGGTTTTGCTCACCCAGTTACAGAAACTCAAGTGTGAGGAATAAGGACTGAACTGGGAGGTGGGGGTTCAGGCACATCCCTGCCACGTTGTTCACTGTCCACCTGTGGGACACTGCCATGTCACTTAACTTCTCTAAATCTTGTCTCATGGTGTCAAGAGACAATTCATGTCTGCCAAAACTCTTCCTTCTAGGTCACCTCAAAGACCTTGTCTTGTAAACCCACAGCATTAAAACTCAATGGAGCCCTAACGATCAACAAACATCTTAAGGACAAAGAAACAGAGGGTCAGAAAGGTTGACCACTTGCCATAGAGCTAGTTAGTATTTTCAAATGCTAAAAATAGTGATTTTGAGTTCAAAAGAAAAATTACTTCAAAAAAGAAATTAATTTTCCCTGAAAGTCCTAGCTGTATATCAAGAACTAAACCTGTGTCTCAAGTGCAAGTCCACTGCCCTTTCCAGAGTACGTGTCTCTAGTCCTTACACATAGTAGGTGCATTAGGCACCCTGGTAAAGATGAACTGAATTACTCTAGCCGAGATATGACTTAGAAGCTATGCTTGATTGCATTCTTATTACAGCCTTTTAATGCCTAACACATTCGGCAAGTATTTTCTGATGGCCACAGAGAGGGTTTCTATGTGTCAGTATTTTTCAGCACTGCCTGTGATTATGAAGAATTTGAATCAAATGCTGTCTGCTGACCAATGTTTATTATATAGTTTTTGAAAGTGTTGCTTTTTGCCTGAGTTCAGGTTTCTTTCTAGATTTAAACAGCTAGAATCCTCAGAGGCTTCACATCCCATTTGTGTTTTGAATCTGTCTCGCACTGACACTTCAGCCTCCCCTTTCTTTTCCCCTTTCTTTCCAGAGAAAGAAAGATTGTGTCCCCTTTCTTTCCAGAGTCTCAGCCCACTACCCCTCTACTGCTACCCCCCATCAGCACTTATGCATGCTCAAATATTTCCCTTCTTAAATAAAACAAGGCAAAACATCTTCCATCCTATATACTTTCTCTACCGTACCCCCATCTCCTTCCCCTAAGACCTTAAGAACCAAAATTCTTAATAGAGTTGTCTGTACACACTGCGTCCTATTTGGTCATTTTGTGTTTTTTCTTCACCTAACAAAATCTGGTTCTGCCTCCAGACCTCCACAGAAACTGCTGTCCCTCAAATTACAACTACTCTCTTGGTTATTACCAAGAAATACCAAATTTCAACTAATCCACCTGACATTTTTGAGGCCTTTCTGCAACACTGGACACTGTTAATATGCTCTCCCTCCTTGGCTTTTGTGACCAACCTCCCTTGAGATTCCAACCTCCTTAGACACCGTGTTTTTATCCTGGGCTCCTTTTCCTTACCTTACCCATTAAATGTTGGTATTGCCCAAGGCCCTGTTCTAGTCCATCTTCTCTTTTCACTGTTATCACCCCCATTGCTTCAATTATCTCCTACATGGTAATGAATGCCAAGTTCAGCACTCCAGCCAGACCCAAGTGTAAAATGCCTCCTAGATAGCTTCACTTACCAGAGTAGCGGATTGTCTGAGGCTCCACACAGATTCCTTATTTGAGGCTGACCTATCCACCCCACTGTCCTACAGCTGCTTGGAACATAAGATGCTGACTGCTGACAGCTGTGTCCCTTGCTGGACATTGCTTTTGTCCTCTGATGACTGCACCATCCAAGAGTATGCCGCCCCCAGAAGGCAGCCCACAGCATATGGACTGGTTCATATGGAAATATAAAGGCCAGGCCCAAGAAGGCAAGAGCCTCAAATTTCGGACTCTGATGTGCCATCCAGAGCTTCATGTAGGACTGGTTGGTATCTTGGTTGCAACTAAATACTGGCTCTGTTTTTCTCTTTGCCATTTCCTCCCTTCCTCACTTTTCTATAGGATTGTCTCCTTGAGAACTCCCTAATAAATCTTCCACATTCAACTCCCCAGCTCAGTGTGTCTCCATCACAGGGAACTACAATCAACACCACAAGAAAACATCATACTCCCCTATAAACTCCCTTCTCCTCCTTTTCTTCTCCACTAATACTCACCATCTCAGTAAGCCACACCATCATCCTTCTAGTTGCTCAAGTCAGATATCTGGGACTCATCCTTGACTTCTTCCCCACAGTCTACTCAATAAGTATTGTCAATTCTACTTCCTAAATAGCTTACAGATTAATCTTTTCTTTGTTCTTATTACAACTTCATCAGTTTAGGAAAAAATCTCCTCTCCAAAGACTATTGCAGTGTGTCCCAACCAGGAAGCCAGGGTTAGATGTTGATCATTTCATTGCTGAGGTGGCTAAATGGGGTGTCTGAGGCAGCCAGGACATGCCACTCATTGCCTCTGTCCAAGAATAATCGCATCTAGGGTTCTAAATCACCACAAATGTCCTGCTATGTGTCATGCAATATTTTCATTTTGTAGGTATGCCATCCTGTGAGAAAGGCTAGAATCACTGCAAATGCCACAGGGTCCTAATTGGTCACCCTGTCACATGTCTCTCCTCCCATGCAAAGTGGAAATTTCCTTCAAGACAGGGGGTCTTTCTGTTTTCCAGTGTTCAGCCTAAGACTGGCATACAGTAAGCACTCGCCAAATATTTGTTCACTGAATCAGTAAATGAATCAATCCATCTTTCAAATGAAGAAATGAATCAAAGGGTGAAAGAAAGGGAAGAAATACTGAAAAGAAAATAGGAAAAGGGAAGGAAACCAGTTTCTCATCCTTCCAAGGGTCTTGTCCTTGATGTTGAATGGATTGCCATGATGAATGATCTATTTTAGAAGGTAAAAGGGATGTTGGCAAAGTTCTGGGGAACAAGGTTTTAAAATATAGCCGCATTTTGTTTTTTTAAGTTTGTAATCTCCAAAAGGGCTTATAATACCAGTTTTTGCAATGAAGCAGTTTACCCGAGAGGAATCAATAAATACTAATTAATGATAATAATTAAGGAGGAATAAGTAGGTGGAAGACTGAACTAGAATGACTAAGTAGGTTTCTTTCATCTGAGGCAAATCCCTCTCTGCAATGCAAGTTTTGTACCATTGGCCCTGCCTGTTGCATTATAATTATTTTCCACAGTGGAAAAACACAGGCCAATAAGTGGAAAAACAGATGTGCATGTCGTAACTCAATCATGTACTAGCAATGTGACCTTGGGAGAGGCACTTAATCTTTTTGAACTTGCATATCTTTGTCTATAAGAAGAAAAGATTGGCATAGATGATATTCATGTCCACTTCTAGCTCTAAAATTCTACTCTGTTCTGTCTTATGTTATTTTTAGTTTTCTCGATGCCTGTCAATTCAGTGCTTTCTACAAATTGGAAAAGGAATTCAAACTGGCTAGCGTTTTATAAGAGTCAACTAAAAATAAGCTTTAAAGCAAGAGGCAGGAAGCCACTCTATGGAAACAATGCATATCAATCAGTAATCTGGAAGCTTTTTGCAGGAACCATTTTCAGCCTTCCTCTCTTTACCTCTTAAAGTATGTGCTTCCAGCAGGAAAGAGGTCAGAAGCAGATACACATATACACATATTCTTTATGAAGCTGACATATGGAGGAGAAGGGGGAAGATAAAACATGAAAATTTAGGCAACTATTGACGGCTAGAGATTGCATAGAAGCCAAGTCTGAGAGAAAAACTGGATCAGAAATTGAAATCCAATGGCTATTGGCAGGCACTAATTGGGGCTATGCATTTCTCTCCCATTGTTCTGCTTCAATTAGAAGAAAAAAACTAACTGTATGATAAAGTAGAGAGGTCAAGTTTGGTGTTCTAGAAATATGTGGCCCCACAGTTTCCTGGATATATCACTTTATCCTTTTTATTTATTTATTTTTATGTCTTTTGAGATGGAGCCTCACCCTGTCCCCCAGGCTACAGTGCAATGGCGCGATCTCAGCTCACTGCAAACTCCGCCTCCTAGGTTCTAGCGATTCTCCTGCCTCAACCTCCTGAGTAGCTGGGATTACAGATGCCCAGCACCATGGCTGGATAATTTTTGTATTTTTAGTAGAGACAGGGTTTCACTGTGTTGGTCAGGCTGGTCTCAAACTCCTAATCTCAGGTGATCTGCCCGCCTCAGCCACCCAAAGTGCTGGGATTACAGGCGTGAGCCACTGTGCCCGACACCCACTTTATCCATTTTTAAACTATTCTGGTGATCTTCATTTATGGATTAGCTTTCAGGATATCATTATTACTATTTTCTTTTTCTCTTGTATAAATGAGAGAGACATTCCTATCAGAATTTTAATCTCATAGACTAAACTATTTTCCATTTATTTTGAGGAAGGTGAAATACGAAAAAGAATCAACTAAATAAGAAATTGGGCCATTGTCATATTTGGCCATCCAGCAAATTTCCCGAGGCATGGCAGATCGGGAAGCACAGTATGAGTTACAGATCAAGAGAATTGTGGCCAAAAAATAGAACACAAACATATGCTGTTCCTAACAGGGTAAATGAAACCATTAACTCCTGCTTCAAGGGAATTCTCTCCTGTGGCCAGATCCACTAAAAGAAGCCAAAGGGCTCTTTGAAAATTTCTTATCACTTGGTCACATTAGAATAGCTCTTACCCTGGAAGTTAAAAAAAAAAGAAATAGAACTCCTTCTCTGGGAACAGAAGATTTAAAGCTAATTTTTGTAGAGGTGGAAACTCTTGGCCATGTTTCCACTAGAGTGGGTTCTCTGCTCTGAGAGCAAGGTGAGCTGTCTCCTGATAAGGTGTCTTTCTGCCTGACGTCTTGGTATTCCTGGGAGCAAAGTTCCCAGGAAAAAGCCTACTTTCTAGTTGGTTAGGCTGTATGTTTTATTTCCATTGAAAACAGTAGAAAAGCCTACTTTCTAGTTGGTTAGGCTGTATGTTTTATTTCCATTGAAAACATATTCTTTATTTGTCAATCTTCAATTCTCAACTTTACTCACTCATACTATTCAAAGTACCAATAATGTATACTAAGAATAGCCAGCATTCAATTACTTACTACAGGCCAGATCCCATGTCAGATGCTTTATATGCAACCAACTATCCATTCAGTCCTCACCACAGTTCTATCAGGTCAGAATATACAACCTTCAACCTCGTTTAACACAGGAGGCCACCGAGGCCCACCCTCACATACTTTGAGCTATTCTCCTGCATGGAGTCAGTGTAATCTCTTTTAGGTAGTAGTAAGTGAAAATGGTTTCCATTTGGCACTGATCAAATGGAGTCAGAGGTGAGAAGTGCAACCAAAGATCACTGGAAACTTAAGAGTGGTGCATGTCTGGGGGTCAAAAGAGAAAGTTAGGGCCAAAATATGAAATTCAAATGCAAGCTGCCTTTGATGCATAATGACTGGTTTTACTTTCATTGTATCAGACTCGGAAACGCTCTACAGATGTATTTTTTAACGAGATAGGGAGAAATTATAGGAGAGCAAGAATGTCACAGTTTAAGCAAAAGCAATTAGGGGAAAGCCAAGAGCTAGTCCATCAGGGTAATCTTAGGCAAATGGCTTCATCTCAGGCCTCATCTCTCATTGGGTCTGGAATGCACATAGCACTCCTCACCCTTCTCACTTCAGTAGACATTTGTGAGAAGCACAGGAAGTAACTACACTGAAAGAATTTTGAAAAAGTTTGAATGTCCCATAATTGTTACTGTTACTGTCACTCTAAACTTTCCTTTGAGATTCTATGACTGTAAATTGGAAAAATCACCATAGGACAATCTGATACACTTCTGAGACTTTTATCAAAAACAATGCATGTTTTGTATCTGAGCTATATTACTGTCCTGCTAGAAGCAACTTAAAAGAAACACAAAATCAGGTTGGAAAAATGAAGGTCAATACAGACCTGATGTTCACATTAAATCTGAGTGCAATTTGGGACAATGACCCCCTTCACACCTCTTCAATTATCAAACACCAAAAACAAGACTACCCCAGGCCATGCTGAACAGGGTACTGGGGCAACCTATGGTGAAAAGTCAAGATTAGAGACCTCATGTCAAACTTTTAAAAAAATAATAGTTCATTATTTTTAAAGAACTTTCAAAGAAACCCTAAATGTATCCACTAAAACGTAAGCAGAATAAACCCAAGAGTTATTTTTGAAAGAAATTATAGTACAGCTACCTTTTCTGTTTTTTTATGTTTTGCTACAAATAATTAAATTTTTCACTCGTCTCTAAAACCCTCTTAATGAAAAACATCTACAAAAAAGGCTCATGGGAAATAAAAGGACTCTGCTATGAAATTGCAACAAAACATTACTTACTTTCTTTGCTTATACTGTGGGTCTATGTGTGCATGTTTGTGTTTCACACTTGCTAAGAATTCAATTTGTACAATGAACATATGGCCTCCGGGGGCTTGTAAAAATGGCTGCTTAAGTGAAGATAATTAATTCTGTAAAGTATTTTTCTCCTACATATCTATGAAGACACCTACTGCTTAACTTCAAAAGGAAGCTACCCCTCTCTCTTTCACACACCAATTTTGGTACATCGTACCCACTGGGCAGTCAATAAGTGACTCAGATTTCACTTTCATCAGAAACCTTTCCCAAGCCTACATTTGGAAGTGCTATGTGACTTAATGTCACACATATGAAATGTACTCAAACGCCAATTTAAATATAGTTTTTCTGCTGTAAAATTTTTGAAATGTTTCAAATAATTTAGGTTTTGAACTTCTTCGGTAATGAGTAACTCATTTGATATATGATTGCTTGAGAATGTGAGTCTTGCTCAGGGATTATTAACAAGTGAGAAAAACCTAAACCACAAATTGTTTTCAAACATAAATCAATTTTTAAGAGTATAAAATGAAACAATACATAAAATTGATACAATGCTATGTTTTGTAGACATTTAATTAAACATTGATTAATTTTGATTTTATGGATTTCATCCTGCATTCAGTAGCCACTGATTTATATTTTTTCTTCTAGGCCCTATGTCTACTATTCTGGGGCCTTGTATATAGCTCATCCATCTTTCAGTTTTATCATTATATATTTAGTCAAGGATTACTTTAAACCATGCGTTTTCAATGGGGGAAATGTCACCCCTAAAGGGAGGAAAATGAGTTCTTGGGGAACGAAAAACCTTACTCAAATTGTGTATGAAGCATAGACACACATAGAGTGCATAAACAGATATACAGTACATCTGAGGAATAAAAATTTCCTGAGGTTGGGGCTGTCAGGAAAAAATGTCTCAAAAGTGTCCTTGTAGGGGTGACAATGAGGAAAAGGCTGAGAATCACTGCTTTGGGTTGTTTTAATATGCTTTATATGTATCCCTTTCATTTTCCCAACAGAATTGAAGCTATTTAAGAGCAGGGATTGCATCTTCTATTTCTCCTGAATGTTTACACCACATGCTCAAAGGTCCCAATATTATTTTATCACCCTCCTGGGAGTACACTGTGGTCTAATTTTATGCAACTTTCAATTATGTAAATTTTAATGAATGTCATAATACATATCCAGGGTTGAAAAATTTAAAATAATGCAAATTCCTTCAAACTAAAAATTTGCCAAGAATTGCATGATTTCAAAGCTGGTAAGCCAAGTGAATTGTTAATCATGTTCACTGCTGGGTAATAGCATTAACAGTATAGAAATTCCTTTCACCTTTTGTAAGAAACAAATTATGTGAAGTCTCTAAGAACACTTCCCTCCAATAAAAGGAATTGTCATGTACTGGAATCTGTTGAAGCATACTTGTAGGGACTTAATATACGCTTTTAAAGTAGGAAGTTTGGAGGTGTTTTTAAAAAATTGTTTATTATACATAAAGGTATACAGCAGAAAATAGGTTAGCCATTGAATTATCATGTTCATTGTTCTTTATTGCCTGTGATCAAGGATACAGATATCACTGTGGCAGGGCTATCTATCATATGGAATGCTGAATTAAATAGACCTTATTACACTTCTAGTACTGGGAAGAGCCAGCTGAGGTAGGAGCCAAGAGACATATCTCAACGCCATCTAGAGCACTTGGCTCTCAGCACTTGACCTAGAGCCTGGCACATAGTAGGCATGAAAATAAGTTATTTGTTAAATGGATGTAAGAACTTTGTCAGAGTATTAGAGTAACACTAGATGCTGGGAGGCAATCCGGCATCTGTTGTAATGATAGTATATGGTCCCATTTGTTACACACATTCACAACTTCATCAAGATTTGATGGCAAACCTGTGAAGGGCTCCTGGCACACCTAAAAACCACAATAATAATTCAAGACACAACACTGTGAAAGGCATGAGAAGTTCCAAGTTTAAGGTTTCTTCCATTCACTAGCACTGAGACCAAATTTGGGCAAGTTGCTTATGTCCTTGGACCTCGGTTTTCTCATTTATAAAATAAGGGCATTGGATCAGTGATCCCAAAAGGCCAACATTCTAACTGTAACATTTTATGTGTTTTATGCTCAATGAAAGCTTATCAACAATTTCTCATCATCACCTTTGGGTTTAGATTTCTAGCCTATATTCATGAGACTAATAAAGGTTAGTAGCAGGGAAACTGTTTCCACGGTCTTGAAATCTCTGCTTCTGAATTTTGCAAGATGAGCACAGACTATGCAGAACTCTTCCACTCAAATCAGGCCATGCCTGCCAAAATCAGCCACATTTCCACAATATTATAATTTTAGATCTATTTTTTTTTAAAAAGAATCCTACTTCAAATATAATTCAATATAATGAGGACAAGTTTTGTCTGACATGGTCTGAAGAAGAGAATGACACTTTTCTGACTCTCAAGGTAATTATATAATCTAAAAACAGAAACTAGAAATATAAAGCAATTAAATAACAAGAAGGGATAATATATGATAACGTTTTTAATTGAATATATTCAATAGCAAAGATTTAAGGATTAGATAATTAGTGCTATGAATGGTCAGACTGAAGAGGTTGATGTTAAGTGGATTTCCCTAAAAGGTTCCCTAAAAGGTTCCAAAGGAGGCTTGCCTTGGAATAATAGGAACCTGGTCTAAAGTTGATTTTTCATCGTGTTCTTCTAATTTCCTCTTCCATATTGTGCTCTCTGGAGTCACAAAGATCAATTGGAATCCCCCTTCCAGATGAAATCATGCAAGTCATTTGCAGACAAGGTAATCCCTGGCTTGTCTCTTTACCTGGTGATCATTCTCTGCTTCTCCAGCATTTTTTGCAAAAGAATTTGTCTAGTCTGTACCCATCTCATCTCCCATCACCATCCTTGTTTCTGTTCAAAAGGTATCCCTCTTTCCTAAGCCTCCTTGAGTTGAGAAACCCAAAGCTGCGTTACCAAAGAGTAGGAAAGACTGTCAGGAATCATCTTAAAAAGAGAAAAAAGTTTGAAAAGACATTGACAATATCACCACTGTAGAAATACATCACAATGCAAAAGTTCGGAAAAATCCAAGATTAAAAATACAGATTCAGACGTGGACACCTTCTTAGAAGGAACATTGGCAGCAAGTTATCTTTCTAAAGACTTAAATGCCAAGAATGAAAGGAGAGTAGAAGAAAGGGAATGTAGAAGAGAGGAATTTACAAAGAAAGAAAAGTAATTAAGAAGATAAGAAAACTAGAAATATAAATTTAGGAAGAGAATTGGGATGGAAAGAAGCTAAGAAAGACACTGATTAGAAAGAAAGAAAGAGAAGAGAAGGAAGAGGGGAAGAAAAGCCAGCCAGCCAAGACTAAAATGAATTGGCTATCATACTGGCTTCCAAAGAAAATTAATGTAAATAAAATGAAAGCCATGTAATGAGGGAAACATACATTCAACACAATAATCTGGCTCCCTAGTTGTGCTTAAAATACAGCCACACACACAAAAAATATATGAATTAGAACAAAATGACTTACTGTGTGGTTGCCGCACACGGAGCAGACTGTGCCGCTTCAGCCTGGCACTGTTTGAAGAGACTAGTTTCGAATGCCATTTGGACAGAACCCAAGGTGTTCATGCCCCAATAGGAAGCACAAATCATTAAAAGAAAAATGTTGAAGGCATTTTCTCTGTTGGTGTGTAATTTCTCAATGTTATTGCCAGCACAAGAAACGCTTTGAAGGTGAACAAAAGCTAATGAAGCACTATAACAAACACTAGTAGTGCTTGTTAATGCATCTACCATTTCTCAGGTTTCCTGAGTCTCTTTTTATTCCTCTACAACTCACTCTGTAGAGCTGCTTGAGCACACGTGGGGTTCCACCCAGGTGGAGCATCTTTTCATCTCTTTAGTATGGTAGGCTCAAGAGCACACAAGTCACTTATTCATTGTGAAATTCCAGAAACAAAGGAGGTATCAGTTCCACTAAAGTGGAGAATGAGTGAATGACATCACTGACCATCTTTTCCATTTAAGTATAATACAAGGAGAAGAAAGGCACCTGGAAAGAGGAAAGTGTTATGCACAAAATTCTTGGGCAAGAGATAGAGTGGGCAATGTGGTGAAGGTTTTCCAGCCTCCCAAATTGGGGCCACTCCTTTAGAGAGAGGGCTGCAGGTGGCAGCAGAAAAGGCTGTTTCCCCAAGAAATCCTGTGAGATGCAGTGTACAATGGACCAGGTATATAACCCAGGTGACAAAAAGTAACACTGGAGTGCAGGGCCATCCTCTATTTTTTCATGCCACATGGCTCAGATCTAAGTCCTTGACAATGAAATACTTTCAGAATTCTAGGAGATATCACTTTTGTAGCATTTGGTGTTCTCTTGGTGGGTTCTGGCAGCAGTGGAGGAGACAGGCACAAACAAATGAATTCAAAAGAAGAGGATATCAGAGCCAGGGAAGTAGCAAAATAAGTAGAATATGGTGGCCATCACATGGGGAATGTGGCTGATGGAGAAGCAGTTCAAACACTTCCAGGACTCTGGAAGAGACTTGACAGTGGGTGGGATACACAACACAAACAGGTGTGAACAGGAATCAGAGTGTGTGAAATACAAATACTATTGTGAACTTATTTGCACCCAGAGGCTATTAAGGTTAGAAGGATGTTTAGATTTCATCCCATTTATATTTCCTTATGATTTGGTAATTTTATGTGCATCTTGGTAAAGAATTATTCTGGGGGAAATATATATATATATATACACACACACACACACACACACACACATATACTATACTCATATAAGTTAGATAATCTTATATAAATTTTAGCAATAAAGTGTAGAAATGAAGCCATTGGAAAGGATCAGAAAATTCACATGTAATAAGCTATATTTGAAGATGGTGGTCAACATTTTAAAACCTGGATACTTTGAGACACTATTAATCCCAGATGTTAAAGATTGATATGGAGCCATGGCCTTTCTAAAAATGGTAGTATCATGTTTGTGATCATACCCATACAATGCATTGCTATTCCGCTAACATTCACCCTACTCGTCTTTGAAATGAGAGTCACTGAAGCTGGCTCTGTGATAGAACAAGCAGCTAAATACCAAATGAGGCCCTGAAATCATCCTCTTACAATTTTCATGCAGAAGATATACAGCTCCCTTTTCTGGGCAACAAAGCCCAAATATTTATGCAGCTGATTATAAAGCAATTAAAGAAACAGAGTGCAAATGAATCATAAGATTGGGGGATATCTTCCACTTTGACAATGCACTCTCCTAAAACTGGGAATTTTTTTGTGTACATGATTCATTTTATCTTCTCTTTCTATTATTACCAAGTGACAAATTAGTTACCATTTATTCCTTTTCTATCCTCAAGGAGGAAAAATAATTCTATCAGGAGGCAAGAGTGTACCCAATCTTTTAGGCAGTTCCCTTGTACTGGCTCACTCAAATTTGCTATTCTAGTATTGTGCTTTTTCATGGCCCTCTGTGGATATTTTTTTACTATCAGGATTGACATGATGTGCAACCACCAAGTTACTACCTTGGCTAAAATTCCCTGTGCTGGGGGATCTAATGACCTTCTTGGGACCAAAGCCCAGGACTGGCTTTATGCCCTAATTCCGCTTGTCTGTCATCTAACTTCTCGCTGCTGGATTTCTTACACTGCTTCTTTTACTAAAATCTGTCACTAGAATCCTTCAACTTTATTATTTAAAAGAAGAATATGATGATTTAAGTCCTCTCCATTTTCCTTTCAATAGCTGATTTTCAAACTTTCTTATTTAGTAAAGGAAAAATTTTTTAAAAGACATATTAGGTAGAATGTCAACACATAAAATAGTAAAAAATAACACTATGTTAGTCGAGGACATTGGGGAGGGGGCTGGGAAGGTAGTGATGGCAGATCTAGGCCACCTACACACATTTCCCATCCTCACCCAACTATGCACCTCTGTACCTTCCAGAGAACAAAATTTAAAAACCACAAATTCATAATACAATACAACCTCTGTCTTAAGGAATAGTTGAGTATTTTCCATTAGAAAAAAAATGAGCCTACAAGATATCATCAGCCTTCCATTAATATGGTTATCACTTGTCTTTTGCTCCCAGACTATTAAAACAGTATATTGTAATTTACTACCAACAATATTCATTCTCTAGGAATAGTTTGTAAATTACAAGATGTTATCTTGAATTCTCTTTAAAAAACCCTTGAATGTTAAATTTTGAAAAAAAAAATTGGTCTTCATCTGTTAAGCTGTTTAGAATGTTCTGTGTCCAACACCAGTAAGAATTTTAATATATTCAGCTAAAGTCTACTACAAAAGATGCACTCAAAATTCATGTGCCTCTCACTCAATTTAAGGGTTTAGCAAAACCTGGAAGAACTGCACAGTGATCTCAGAAGCTCTTTCCATGCCCTTGGAAGCAATTCCTATTATTTATTCAGCCCAGTCTAAAATACTCTATAATCTCTGCTTTGGTTCTTGTAATCTTATTTTTCAAATGCATTCCATCCTAGAAGTGGCATTCTGGTGATCTGCAGACAGATATTTGACCAGCAGATAAAGCTTTCCCTCAATAACCCGCGCATGCTCTCTGCATAAAGGCATTGTGGAATAGCAAGTGAATAAAGGAGAAAATGATAGTTATTTATAGATATTTACAGCAGTGTTCCACCAGGACCCCACTTGTCACAAAGTATGAAAGATCCCCTTAGAAAATGCATATTTTCCATCTTCGAAATATTTATTAAGCAAACCAACTATTTTTAAGGTCTATTAGAATAAAATAGCTTTGGGTATTACTGGCACTTAATGATTCAAAGGCTGAAACTAAGACTTCTTTTTAGATAAGCAAGAAGGAAGATACACTTTGTTCCTGAAATGAGTTCAGCAGGGAGCCTGTTTGGAGCACCTGTAGGAGAATTGCAGACAATTGCAGACAGATTATTCCCCACCCTCTCAGAGCCTAACATTCACCAGATAATTAGCCTCAAGCTAATCAATGATTTAAAACATGAAATCATGCTTCTTGTGTCCTTTAAGAATGAAAAAGCCACTAGTGATTTATCATCAGCAGGACATATGTCCTATTACAATATGTTTAAAAAATAAGTTATCCATTCATTCCATCCTTTATTTCAGAAGTATTCATTGAGCACCTACTATGGTGCAAGGTAGATTGCGCTTTTTGAAGTCCATTGACAGAGGGTTGCCACCTGACAAAACAGACAGACATGCTCAAGTGGGTCAATTTAGTTAATTTGTTATAGTCCTGGGTCAGGTCCCCAGCCCGAAAGAGAACCAAAGTGACGTCATCTAATTCCAAGGTTTATCTGCACTTGTCAATACGGAGTTACAGAAACAAAGCTCACAAGAAACTGATGCAAAAGCCAGTGCAGAAATAGCTGCAATATTGACCAGGGTTTGACAACTGTACCTCAACCACTGTGTTCTTTAGAATTATGTAGAAATAGATTCAAAAATCTCGCTATCACTTGCTGTCTGACTTTGTGCAAATCAGGCAAACTCTTAGACTCTCAATGTCTTCATCTGTAAAGCAGTAATCCAAACTTACTCAACAAAGTTGTTGCTACTAAGTGAAATAACCTTTATACAGTGCTTATCATCATTCATTCAATAAATATTCATGAGTATACACCAAACTGTGCACCAAACATCATATGAAGAACTGGAAACATAAAAGTGAGTCAATCAAATGTCTGCATGGGCTTTTGGAGATGAATTGAGTAAAATACAAGCATACACTAAGATTTGGCAGGTTCCATTCCAGACCACCACAATAAAGCAAATTTGCAACAAAGTGAGTAACAACCGTTTTGGTTTTTCAGTGCATTATAAAAGTTATGTTTGTCTGTTGTCTACTAAGGACATAATAGCATTCTGTCTTAATATATGTACATGTTAATTAAAAATACTTTACAGTTAGTAATTGCTAATGATCATCTGAGCCTTCGGTGACTTGCAATCTTTTTGCTGGCAGAGGGTCTTGCCTCAATGTCGATGGTTGGTGACTGATCAGAGTGGTAATTGCTCAGTGTTGGAGTGGCTGTGGCAGTTTCTTAAAATTAAACAACAATGAAGTTGGCAGCCTTGGTTGACTCTTTCTTTCACAAAAGATTTCTCTGTAGCATGCTATGCTGTTTGGTAGCATTTTACCAACAGTAGAACTTCTTTCAAAATTGAAGTCAATCCTCTCAAACCCTATCATTGCTTCATCATCAAAGTTTCTGTACCATTCTAAATCTTTTCTAGTTATTTCAAAAATGTTCATAGCATCCTCACCAGGAGTAGGCTCCATTTCAAGGAACCACTTTCCTTGCTTATCCATAAGAAGGAGCTGCTTATCTATTCAAGTTTTAGCATGAGACTGTAGTAATTCAGTCACATCTTCTGGCTACATTTTTCATTCTAGTTCTCTTACTATTTTTATGATATCTGCAGTTACTTCTTCCTCTGAAGTCTTAAACTCCTCAAAGTCATTCATGAGGGTTGGAATCAACTTCTTCCAAACTCTTACTAACATTGCTATTTTGACCACCTCCCATGAATCACAAATGTTCCAGAAGGTTTTTAATTTATTTTGCTCAGATCGATCAGAGAAGTCACCATCTATGGCAGCTATAGCCTTATGAAATGTTTTCCTAAATAATAAGACATGAAAGTCAAAGTAACTCCTTGATCCATGGGTGCATAATTAATGTTGTGTTAGCAGGTATGAAAGCAACACTCATCTCCTTGTACATCCCCATCAGGGATCTTAGGTAAGCAAGTGCGTTGTCAATGACCAGGAATTTTTTTTTTTAATAATCTCTTTTTTTCCTGAGCAGTAGGTCTCACAGTAGGCTTAAAATAGTTACTAAATCATGCTGTAAACAGATAAACTGTAAGCTAGGCTTTGCTGTTCCATTTCTAGAGCACAGGCAGAGTAGATTTTGCATCATTTTCAAGGGCCATAGGATTTTCAGTATGGCAAATGAGCACTGACTTCAACTTAAAATCACTAGCTGCATTAGCCTCCAAAAAGAGAATCAACCTGCCCTGTGAAGCTTTAAAACCAGGCATTTATTTCTTCTCTCTAGCTATGAAAGTACTATATTACATCTTCTTCCAAAAGATGGCTGTTTCATATGCATTGAAAATCTGTTGCTGCATGTAGCCACCTTCATCAATGATTTCAGCTAGATCTTCTGAATCATTTGCTGCAGCTTCTGCATCAGCATTTGCTGCAGCTTCTGCATCAACATTTGCTGCTTCACCTTGCACTTTTATGTCATGGAGATGGCTTCTTTCCTTGAACCTCATGAACCAACATCTGCTAGCTTGTAACTTTTCTTCTGCAGCTTCCTTACCTCTCTCGTCTTCAAAGAATTAAAGAGAGTTAGGGCCTTGCTTGGGATTAGGCTTTTGCTTAAGGGAATGTTGTGGCTGGTTTCATCTTCCATCTAGACCACTCAGACTTTCTCCCTATCAGCAATAGGTGGTTTTGCTTTCTTATCACTTGTGTGTTCATCAGAGTAGCACTTTATATTTTCTCCAAGAACTTTTCTTTTGCATTTACAACTTGGCTAACTGTTTGGCTCAAGAGACCTAGCTTTCAGCCTTTCTTGGCCTTCTACTTGCCTTCCTCATTGAGCTTCATTTCTAGCTTTTGATTTAAAATGTGAGACATGCAACTCTCTTTCATTTGAATACTTAGAGGACACTGTAGGGTTATTAATTGGCCTAGTGTGAGTATGATTGTGTCTCAGGGAATAGGGAAGCTCAAGAAGAGGAAATGAGAGGGGAAACGGCCTGCAGGTGGAGCAGTCAGAACACATACAACATTCATCAATTAAGTTCTCTATATTACACAGGCATGATTTATGGTACCCGAAAACACTTACATTAATAGCATTAAAGATCATTGATTACAGATCATTATATCAGATATAATAATAATGAAAAAGTTTGAAGGATAGTGACAATTACCAAAATGTGACTCACAGCCCATGCTGTTGGAAAAATGGAACTAACAGATTTGTTTGATGCAAGGTTGCTGAAAAGCTTCAATTTTTAATAAACACCATATCTGAGAAGCACAATGTATTAGTTCGTTTTCATGCTGCTGATAAAGACATTCCCAAAACTGAGAAGAAAAAGGGTTTCATTGGATTTACAGTTCCACGTGGCTGGGGAGGCCTCAGAATCATGGCAGGAGGTGAAAGGTACTTCTTACATGGTGGCAGCAAGAGAAAAATGAGGAAAAAGCAAAAGCAGAAACCCCTGATAAACCCATCAGATCTCGTGAGACTTATTAACTATCACGAGAATAATACAGGAAAGACTGGTCCCCATGATTCAGTTACCTCTCCCTGGGTCCCTCCCACAACATGTGGGAATCCTGGGAGATACAATTCAAGCTGAGACTTGGCTGGGGACACAGCCAAACCATATCACACAATAAAGCCAAATGCAATAAAATGAGGTATGCCAGTAATGCAATGGTCAGACTTCATTGGCACGTGAGAACTTAGCTGCATGCTTCACAGTGCCAGGCTCAGTCAGGGTAGGCATTCCCTTTCAGGTCATCAGGTTGGGCCTAAGAGTCCCTCTAAGACCATCCTCTTTCTAAGCCTCCTTAGTTATCTGATGGCCCTTATGATTGACAGCTTCACTCAATATACATCTCCAAAAAAAAAGTAACTAATAATTTCTAAGGTTATACCATGTGCTAGATAAAATAGTTTTACCCTACAAATCTGGCTCTCTCCCTATCATGACTTTTGCATCAGCTTTCTTTAATCCATTCAGTGTTTATGGCTGTTTATGGCATATTTGTAAAGTCCAAAGTTAGCTAAACTGGAACTATACTTTCCAGAATTCTCAGGTCTGCAGCATTGGCTACGAGAGACATCTTGCCTGGGACTTGGTAGCACCCATTTCTTCTGCAGATCATCCCTAACATTTAAGTTGGAGGGCAACAACCCTTCAAGAAAGACAGGGAAGATACTGTTATGTTCACAGTGTCTGCAGCATATGAGTGCCAGACACACAGCAGGCTCTTTGTTGAATGGCTATGATCCATTCAGTTTATAGAAGAAGAAACGGAGACTCACAGAAGGAGATTGTCATGCTCAAGGTTGTCCACCTATTACATGGCAGTTTCCTAACTTGTGAGTAAATGTTCTTTGCACTACAAGATTAAACATGGCATGATAGCAAATTAAAAGGAAGGATAGTGTTCAACAAACAAATGATGCATATTGAGTCAAAAGATAAGATGGTACTTTATGTTATTTCTTTGAGATTACAGTTGTATTTTTTAAAAAACCTATAGTTACAAGTCACACATCAAAAAGTGAGGCCAGTGTCAACAGGCATATATCTGTCTGTCTATCTCTCCCTCAGCAGATCATAAGCACAATATTTTACACGAAAAGAATTGTCTAGAAAATCCCTCTACCTACATACTATATAAGCATTTAGGGCGTAATTATTCTTTTAAAAATATTCCATTATATATTTTAAAATAAAACATACGAACAAATTAAAAATGATAGACAAAGTACAATTGCTTTAGGTTACTTTAACCATTAGAAGGAAGTTATTGTGGTGATGGTTGTACAACACTATGAATGTACTAAATATCACTGGATCATATATGTTTAAATGGCTAATTTTATGTTCAGTGTATTTTGCCACAATTTTTACAAATGAGGTTGAAGCTCTGCAAAGAAGCCTATTACGCATTGCAGTGGTAAGTTCTATCAAGAATGGGCAAGGCCATGAGGGAGTGACTTACAATATGGTTGCCAGGGAAACTTGCTCCTGTTTGGAAGAAGATACCCAACAGCTACAGCAATATATCAGCATGTTTTTGGAAACCTTCTCCTCTTGTGATTTAAGTCAAGTCATGGGAAACAACAAAATTCACTCTTCCCAAAGGCATATGAAGATGCCTATTTTCACACTTCCTCACAGATGTGCACAGTGACACATGAGCACACACACGCAGCAGAGTGAGCACTTCACTGGGAATACTCCGGACCTCTCCTCTCTGATAGTTGGTGAGTACAGGCTAGCAGAAGTCAGCTGTAAAAGACCTTCTGACACGCAGCCAAAGCTCTAAAGCCCTGCTGAGGAGTTTGTCCTCCCCAAAGCCTGTGATTCTAGGAGAACACGCACAGTAAGTTGAAAGTTGTTTTCTCTTTAACCCAGGAAGAAACTAGGTATTTAACTGAAGCTGAATTAAGTTAGAGAAAACAAATACATTGTGCCCAGGATTTACCTTTCTCTACCACCCCTTTGTGAACTTTGTACATCGTAGGTGTTTTAAGAATATTTATTAAATTACATTTTATTCCACCAACACTGATAATTAGAAATTAGTTCATTTAACTGGCTAATCAAAGAAGAGGTGTATTTTTAATGTATATGTGTGTTGTCCATGCCAGTCAGAGTCCCTTCCACAATCATTGTCCCCCATGTGGGAAGCTGCTTCACTCAGAGGCTCCTGCTCAGTAAAGAAGAACTTACGTTTCTACTGGAATAATGGGTGGGCATGGGCTGAACCAATGGAGTTTACCTGACTCAAGATCAACAACAGACAGGTAGGCTAGATAGAGATCTATGAAGAGACCTTGTTGAAAACAAAACAAAATAAACAGCAGCAACAACAACAAAAAAATCTCTGCCCCATGAGAGCAGCTATAATTAGCTAGTCCAGAAAGATTCTCCCCTTTGGAATTTGTACAAGAATACATGGAAGAAATAACCCAGTTGTCAATAAAGGAAAAAGGAGAAACTGAAGAAATTAGAGAGAGAAAAAGAAAACGACCAATGGAACCCAGCACAGCCCATGAGAAAGAGAGAAACACAGCAGCTTAATAGTTTGCATTATCTCCTTACAGAAAGGCTATCTCTGTTTCTTTCAAAATAGAACACACAAACTCACACCATAAACAAAATCAGATTGTAAGAAAAATTCTCATTTGCATTTTCATGTTTTAGCAATGTTTAGCTGGTTCAAGTACATAAATAATCATTGCCCAAAGACTTGGTCAAAATTAACTGAAGTGTAGACATAGGGCTCAAAAGAAATAAAACTGATTGCATGTAACTCGTATCTATAAAGTCCTAGCAAATGGACCAACAGTAAGTGGAATGTTCTCATACATTGGTTATGAAGAACAAAATAAACTTGGGGATCTGTCTGCAGAATTCTACTGCTACAAATGCTTTGAATAAGCAATTGTAATATCCTTAATTTTTAGAAAACAAAGGAACAGCAGAACAATAGTGTTCATTGAACATGTACTATATACCAAGCACTACGCTAAATTACCAAATTTAATCTTGATAATAGTCCCATTGGGTACAATAATCATCTCCAAGTTGCAGATAAAGGTGCCAAGGTCAAGGAAGTAAAGTCAGAAGCTGTGGTCACAGAATAACTAGGGGACCACACTGGGGTTCCTGACCTGGTTTGCATATCTACAAGAATGATATTTTAATGTTATCACATCTGTCAATCACTTACTATATGACCCTGATAAAAAAAAGTAACGAACCTGTGCTTCTTCAGTTATAAAATGATAATATTAAAGTAGTTGATGACCATAATTGCTTCCAGTTTGAAAATGCTATTATTTAAAGTATGGATAAATAACTTTTGAATTCAAAGAGGGAACATCATTAACAATACCAACTAACATTTTACAGTTTAGTGCACAGTAAGTGACCAATAAATCAGTTGAATTAATTTTTTAAAACGACTACTTTATTAAATACTTTATCTTATTTCCCGAATCTTCACACCTCTAAGACTTAGTTACATGACTATTACTTTTTATACATGCAAAAACAGAAAACTGAGCCTGAGAGTGGAAAAGTGACTTTCTTAAAAGGCACACGGTTAAGTGTTAGAAATAGCTTCAACACAAGAAGTCTAAATTAGAATGTTAGGCCTTGACCGAGAAGATCCAAAACTGTGGGAGCCTACAATTTCAAGTTGGTTAAATCTTTAGAATCAGATTGTTTAATTTTTAAAATATCAACTCATGAACAAACAGTGAAGCAGGGTAAGTTCCAGGAAATCTATGAATAGTTATGAATGAGAAATCTGTACTTTGGGTAGAGTCCCACTAAACCATTACCATCTGTCATTTCTGTTCTTGATCTATGAAGTGGGGAGAAACCATCAGCTACAGGTAAGTAATAAGGTTAAGAAGTAAAAAGGTTTAATGCTAAAGTAGGCATGGAAGCCATTTGAAAATATAAGTGCAATACAAATGTAAAGATTTCTTTATCAATGTTCTAAAAGATTCATCTACTCAGCTAGATGCCAAATAGGTGATTCCAGAAGCTTTCAGATATGTGAGGTCAGGCCAGTTTTAAAAACTAAAGGTAACTTTTTTTTCTTACCACGTGTCTTTATAAAAAGAGCACCAGACTTAGTGAACATTTTCAAGAAATTCCTAAGTGGTGTGTTCTTGTTTCAGATCTGCCAGTTACTATCCAAGAGACACAGGCAAATCATTTAGCTTTTTCAGGCTCCATTTTCCCATGTCAGAGCTCCTTCCAGAGGGGCCCTCATCTTAGTCTCCTTAGGGCCCTCAGAGTTCCTGATTCATCATCAGAATCTGAGCACCTTAATTTATAGTGCATCTTTTTGATGGGCATATCCTCCTGGCTATTTAGAATCAACTCAATTTCATGTGTTACTTTTTTTTTTTTTTCTCTGAGATGGAGTTTCGCTCTTGTTGCCCAGGCTGGAGTGCAGTGGTACTATCTCGGCTCACTGCAACCTCCGCCTCCCGGGTTCAAGCAATTCTTCTACCTCAGCCTCCCAAGTAGCTGGGATTACAGGCACCCACCACCACCGCCGGCTAATTTTTTGTATTTTTAGTAGTGACAGGGTTTCACCTTGTTGGCCAGGCTGCTTTTGAACTCCTGGGCTCAAGCAATCCTGCTGTCTGGGTGTCAAAGTGCTAGGATTACAGGCATGAGCCACCACGACTGGCCTATTTTTTAAATCTTACATCAACTTTTGAAATATGAGACACATGCCAAAACTCCAGCATTTGGTGATAAAGTATACCTTTAAATACTTCCTTAATGATAAATACGTTCATTACCTTGATTTTGGTGATAGTAACATGAGTGTGCACATATTTCTGAACTCATCAAATTGTTTATATTATGTTGTTTTTTTATTACCAGTTATACCTCAAGTTGGAAAAATCTTTATTGAATAATAAAAATGTAATTTATTTACTACTTATATTTTCAAAGGATTATATACTCCTTCAAAATCACTATGAAAAATCTTACTCCTGCATTTTGAGAATTCTTACTAGGACAGTTTCCAACATCTATTAAAAAGCATATTCTCACTCATAGGTGGGAATTGAACAATGAGATCACATGGACACAGGAAGGGGAATATCACACTCTGGGGACTGTTGTGGAGTGGGGGGAGGGGGGAGGGATAGCATCGGGAGATATACCTAATGCTAGATGACGAGTTAGTGGGTGCAGCGCACCAGCATGGCACATGTATACATATGTAACTAACCTGCATATTGTGCACATGTACCCTAAGACTTAAAGTATAATAATAATAATAAAAAAAAGCTAGTTGCAAAAAGATAAAAACTGTGTGTAGGGTTGGGGGAAGCCATGGTTATCTTGCTGCTATTGTTTTTAATTTGTGTTGTTTTTAAGCTTTCTCTGTACTCTATTTTGTTATCTTTATTAAATTGACATAAAAGGGGGATGTCTACAAAATCCTAATTGCAAGAAACTTGTAGAAAAGTTTAATTAATGGCTTTCCAAAACTGGAGTATTTGCAGTAGTTTGACTATTTTAGAATCTAAACACCAAAGGAAAATCTTTACTAATGTGGAAAGAATGGCCTATATAATCATTATCATGGCATACAAATAAATCCAAAAAAATCACACAAATTTGCTTTTAGTAGATTATGTATAGGTAGTCAGAAAGCAGATATCATTTTCTGAGGAGTTAGGGAAAGCCAATATAAATTAGTAAAAGGTTAACAATAAATTTTATTAAAAAGCACAGTTTCATCATTCAAGTATGAATAGAACTTTAAATCATGATATGTGTTTTCTCATTAGGACTTTTTGGATAATCCTGATTTAATAATTAGGTAATAATTCCATGCGAACTGTCTGCAAATGGGAATTTCCAAAGCGTCTAAAACTTTATTCTCTTTGTATTTACAATAGCTCTCCTATAGTCTTCTGCGTACCATTTAATTGGCTATCAAATCATTTTCCAAAGATCCTGAAAAGGTAAGTTTCAACCTCATTGCCCTCCATAAAGCAAATCATAAATTCTAACTAATTGTGATGGGGTGGGGGGTGGTCTAAACAGGAAATTACATGCAGCAAAGAGCATTTTTAATATCATCCCATTTTATTTTTCTTGACGTTTCTAATCTAAAGCATGCTTCTAAAATATCATTCCCAGCACATGGGAAGAAACACATTCTTTTAAGGTGGAAGTGTTAATTAATGTGCATGACATGGAAAGAACAAGGAAAAGGTTACAGCTGATGCTTCTGCTAATAGCATTTCTAAAAATAGAGGATTTTTGAAACAATGCTCTTTCATGTTAGTGAAATTTCTCAAAGGCCCAGGGTTAGAGCTAAGATACAATTTGTTAAAACAAAATCACCTGCCACACGGATATTATTTACATGCATTCTCATTTCAGTAAATTTTATCATTTATTTCTCATCAAAGTTAATTTCCAGGGAAAAAGCTGTGATGGTTTTCCTCTTTCATATGACTTCCACTTGTGGTTTTTTTGGGGTTACCAACAGGAGCAGCTTTCACTCTGAAGTTATGATCAGAATGGCCTATAAAATCATTAGCATGGCATACAAATAAATCTCCCTCTTTCTCTTCAGTGTTGTTTAATGCCACATTCTCTCTAACAACTTATTCCATGGCCACACTAAGCTTTCTTCTGGTCCTCAAATGCGTGGAGCTTTTCCATAACCCCATGTCCCTGCATGTCCCTCTATGTCTCTCTGCCTAGAATGCTCCTGATTCTCCTCCAGGCAAGCCCTAGCAAGTCCTTCAAGACACAGATCAAACATTGAAGTAGCCCGTGAGCCACATCTAGCCAGGGAAACATAAGAGATACCTGGTTAGCAGCATCTAGGAGTCACTTTCCTCTCTAATAAATGGAGAGAAGTGTGTTAAGAGAGTTTCCTTCTCTTGCCACTCCAACTGCCTGTCTTCTTCGAAAGCAACCTCACGAGCTTGTTTTTCCTGAGCTGCAGCAGCCAAGCTGTATCCTGAGGGGATGGCTGGCATGGTGAGGATGGCAGAGAAGAGGTGCAGGAAGAACCCACATTTATGATATCACACTGGATACTACACCAACCCTGGGACTGTCTACTACTGTAACTTAAAAATTGTTTAAGCATCATTGGTCAAATGCTTCCAAAAGCATCTAATGGATATTCCTAGCCAGGGGAAATTACTCACTGCTGTGGCTCCCAAAGCATTCTTCTAACATCTCTCTCATGACATTTATTCATATTGTGTCAGTGTCACCATCTTTCTAAATATGTGCCTCATCTAAAAGACTATGAACTCCCTATTCCCTAGCATACTATCCAGCTGAGAGGAGAAAATAAAAGTCTGTTGGATGAATTAATTAATGAATTAAATACAGAGGCATAGGATGAGTTCTGGAGTACTGTTCATATCACTGCTATCACTCCATTTGATTTTTTTCATGTGGTTGCTATTAAAGAAAAATATGTTCCATGTTGTAGCCTGCATTGGTTCCAAAGTCATCTGATATTCTCCTGGGATAGCAGGGACAATTTACCAAAAGGTAATTGCTGATAAGTATCCCTGGCACAAATTTCTTAGAGGTTACAAACTGAAAAGACAGCAAAAGGAGAAAGGGATATAATGTGTCAATGGAAAAGAAGTTGAATTTCCGAGTCCAAACCAAAAGAATCTGGATAGGGTTCATGTATTCATTCATATACTCATTCGTTAATCCATCCAGACTTTGTTGAGCATCTGCTATGTATTATGTTATGTCTAGACGCTAGCAATTCAGCATGATTCAGACAGACAAGATCCTTCCACTCATGAAACTTACAGTGTAGAAGGAACAAGTCAGTTTGAGTACAATCATGTGCTGCATGATGACATGTTGGTCAACAATGGACTGTGTTTACCACAATGGTCCCATTTTAAGATTATAATAGAACTAAAAATTTCCTATAATATAGTAATATCTTGATGATTTTGATCCTGTGTAGGCCAATACTAACGTGTGTGTTGTCTTAGTTTTTAATTTAAAAAGTTTAAAAAGTAAAAAAAAAATTAAAAATTTTAGAAATAGGAAAAAAGTTTATGAAATCAGGATATAAAGAAAGAAAATATTCATATACAACTTTATAATGTGTTTGTGTTTTAAACTGTCATTACAAAAGTCAAAAAAGTTTTAAAAAACTAAAAAGTTTGTAGAGAAAGAAATTATAGTCAGCTTAATTTATTATTAAAGAAAATAAATATGTATGTTTTAAAAATTATAGTGTAGTCTAAGTGGACAGTGTTTATAAAGTCTGAAGTAGTGTACAGTAATGTCTTAGGCCTTCACATTCACTCAGCACTCACTAACTCACTCAGAGCAACTTCCAGTTCTGCAAGCTCCATTCATGGTAAGTGCCCTAGACAGGTGTGCATTTTTTACCATTATATCATATTTTTATAGTACATTTTCTGCTTAGATAAATAAATACTTCCCATTGTATTATAGTTGCTTATAGTATTCAGTACAGTAACATGCTCTACAGGTTTGCAGCCTGGAAGCACTAAGCTGTACCATATAGCCTCGGTAGCAGGCTGTACCGTCCAGGTTTATGTCAGTATACTCTGTGATTTTTGCACTAAGATGAAATCATCTAACAATAAATCTCTCAGAATAGATTCCCATTGTTAAGTAACACAGGAACATCTCTTCTAGAAAATGCACCAAACATCATTATGAGCATTATACTCTAATACATACCTGAATGCCAATAAGTGGTTTTGCTGAAAATTATTTTTATGAAGAAACAAAGAACCACACATATTACAGGATGCTGAAACTAGAAAAAATTCTTCTAGATTATCTATGACACTGATTTTCAAACTTTAGTGTTGTTTTTCCAAACATAAATTTGTGTGATGTGTAGAGAGAAAGACCCAGTCTCCTAGCTAGGCTGGCAAACAGTATGGTGATCCTTGAGGCAACTCTGCAGAACCTTGAGAGCCAGAGAGCACATTTTGAAAATGACTGACTTATTCCATCTCCTACTTTTAATTTTATTTTTTTATAAAATTGTTATTATTGTCTTTTTTTTTTTTGAGACACGGTCTCTCTCTGTCACCCAGGCTGGATTGCATTGGCATGATTACAAGTCACTGCAGCCTTGACCTCCAATGCTCAAGCAATCCTCCCACCTCAGCCTCCCAAGTAGCTGGAACTATAAGCGCACATCATCGTGGCTGCCTAATTCTTGTGTTTTTTTTTTTTTTTTGTAGAGACAGGGTTTCACCATGTTGCCCAGGCTGGTCTCAAACTCCTGAGCTCAAGGGTTCAATTCTCAGGTAGGGAACACTCTGGTGAAAGTTCTCACCCACCTCAGCCTCCCAAAGTGCTGGGATTCACACCCAGCCTCCACCTCCTACGTTTTAAAAGGGAGTTTCATTTAAAAATCTAAAAGGCTAAAGTGTTCAAGTTAATACTACTAATACACTACCAACTGGTGACAGGACTAGAACTAGAACTCTGATCCTTTGCCTGTCCATTCCAGCACATTCTCTCCTATTGCAGAATCAATCGACTTACCCAAACTGAAAATCAAGAGAGATATAATAAAGGGCTCTCTGTTATGGATGTTAAAACATTAAAATTTCTATTAATATTTCATAGGGAAATATCAAATGGAATATAGGAAAACCAATCAATCCAGAAAAAGTCAGGATACGCATGGTTGTCTCACTAGGCAAGTTCAAGTGTAAGACAGAGAATGTGCTTACGGCAAAGGCCATACATCTCAGATAACGGTTGCAGGTCACTTCTCTCACAGCAACAGGGAAGTTTAACTAAAACAATGTCAGCATTTTTCATTTTCTGGGCTCTATGAGGCTTCACTTTGCCTATTACTCCTTGAGATATCACTTTATACTTGCTTCCTTGCAATGTGCTCCTGCTTTGCTGTATAAAAGCCGAAAGGGAAAGTAATCTCTAAATGGGTCTATATCCCACAGAGAATTTACTTAGATGACATTTAAATGTGTTCTTCATGTTTTTTTTTTTTTTGGTGCCATTACAAGAAATCATACAGTCATTATACTTCAAATTTGACAGTTCTTTCACAGCATGAAAGGCAGAAATTAGGTCCAAATGTATTTATTTAAATGCAAGGTTTCACTTACCACCAGGACATTTGTGAAGACTGATAGATGACAGCAGATTGCAATGTCTGCACTATTGTTATTTCATGAACCCCTGGCTGTGGATCGCCAAGCTCAAATATTTTAAATTCAAGCAATAAGCCCATTAAAGAGAACTTTCAACTACTATCTCTCTCTCCAGTTATTCAAAGAACTCCATTAAATTCATGTAGCAATCACATTTGAGAATGAAAGAAACTTTTGCTATGAACAGGTTTTGAAATGCGTTTGAAGAGAAAGGATCCAATCAGACAGCACTTAATTAATCAGATCTCAAAACTTTCACCAGAATGTTCCCTACCTGAGAATTGAACCCAAAGTGTCAATCTTACTTGTGGAAAGTACGATTTCATGTGGACATGTTGTTCTTGCACCTTGTTTTGTACGGATAGGAAGACTGACTATTTTCCTATGAAACATCAAAGGTCTTGTAGCCCCTGTAGCTGTATCCCTCCAGTGGCAGTGATCAGAAGTAAGTCTACAGGCTTGAATAAGGCCTGGTCTCCTCTGTCTTGCAGCTATATGGTGAACCCACACTGCAGTCCCACCTCCCTTTATACCAGTGGTCCTCAACCTTTTTGGCATCAGGGACCAGTTTCATAGAAGGCAATTTTTCCATGGACCAGGGGTGGCAGGGGTTTGCAGGATGAGTCAAGCACATTACGTTTATCGTGTACTTTATTTCTATGATTTATTACATTGTAATATATAATGAAATAATTATACAACTCACCATAATGTAGAATCAGTGGGTGCCCTGAGCTTGTTTTCCTGCAACTTGATGGTCCCATGGCAGGGATGATGAGAGGCAGTGAAGAATCATCAGGCGTTAGAGTCTCGTAAGGAGCACCCAACCTAGATCCCTCACATATGCAGTTCACAATAGAGTTCATGTTCCTTTGAGAATCTAATGCCACCACTGATCTGATCTGACAGGAGGCAGAGCTCAGGCGGTAATGCAAGAGAGTGATGGGGAGTGGCTGTAAATACAGATGAAGCTTCACGCTCACTGGTCCACTGCTCATCTGCTATGCGGCCCAGTTTATAATAGGCCACAGACCATTACTGGGAGTTGGGGACTTCTGTTTTGTACCATTAATAGGAGTCAAGACAGAAGTCCCTTGATCTCAAAGGCTCGTGTGACATACAAATTCCACATATAAAGTCACGCACCTCATAATGATGTTTCGGTCAAGGATGGCCCACATATATGGCACTGGTCCCATAAGATTATAATGGAGCCGAAAAATTTCTATTGCCTACTGATGAAACCATAATAAGGCTATAGCATGATGCATTACTTGTGTGTTTTTTAAAATTACAACTTTTTAAAAAGTTACAATAAGTAAGGTTAATTTCTTACTGAAGAAATAAATGTTTTTAATAAACTTAGTGTGGCCTAAGTGGCCAGTGTTTATAAAGTCTACAGTAGTGTACAGTATGTCCTAGGTCTTCACATTCACTCACCACTCGCTCACCAACTCACCCAGAACAACTTCCAGGCTTGTAAGCTCCATTCATGATAAGTGCCTTATACAGGTGTACTTTTTAAGACATCTTTTATACCATATTTTTATTGTACCTTTTCTATTTTTAGATATACAAATACCATTGTGTTACAATTGCCTGAAGTATTCAGTACAGTAACATGCTGCACATGTTTGTAGCCTAAGAGTAACAGGCTTTACCATATTGCCTACGCATGTAATAGGCTATAGGCTATACCATCTAGGTTTGTGTAAGTACACTCTATTATGTTAGCACAACAACGAAATTATCTAAGAGCACATTTCTCGTAGAGTATTCCTGTTGTTAAGTGGCACATGACTGTGCCATCTTATTTAATATTTATCTATGTCTATGATGTCTGAACTATTGTCCTATTTTATTAATAAAGAAAACTAAAGATGTCAGGTAAGTGCCCTTGTTTGTCCAGCTAACTGATGGTCAGCTGGGACTTAAATTCAGGCGTTTTCCATCTTCATTATGCCTCTCTAGGATAACTAATCTCAACAAACAAAAGCAAAGATATTACTCAACCATTTATATAATTCAACTATATAAGGCTAAGTATTCAGATAATTTAAAAGAGCTCTGATTTTGACATCACATTTCTCAACATTTGGAAGGTTGAATGTTTTTTCTTTAATCTATTCTATATGTTAGTGTTCACTTAGAACAGAGTTTACAATAGGTGGCATTCAGACAATAGATGTGTATTATTTCAGCTCCAGAGCTTTATTTTCAGGTTGCAAAAGCAAGCTTTTTTCTAACGTTTTATTTTTTATTTTTAATTGACACATAATTGTACATATTGATGGAGTACAATGCAATGTTTTAAAATGTATATATATATAGTATAATGACCAAATCAGTGTTATAGGCATATCCAGGATCTCAAACATTTACGGTGTCTTTGTATTGAGAACATTTAGAATCTGCTCTTCTAACTCTTCAGAAATCCACAAAACATTGTTATTAATTATAGTAACTCTACTGTGCAATGGAATATGGGAAGTTATTCCTCCTACCCAATTGCAACTTTGTACCTGGTGGCCAACCTCTCCTCACCCTCTTCCTCCCAAACCACCGCCATTATTCTTGGCTGCTGGTAACCACTACTCTGCTCTCTATTTCTATAAGATTAACTCTTTTAGATTCCACATATGAGTGAGATCATGCGTATTTGTCTTTCAGTGTCTGGCGTACTTTACTTAATCAACCTTACTGTCCATCAGTGGATGAATGGCTAAAGAAAATGTGGTATATATACACAATGTAATACTATTCAGCCATAAAAAGAATGAAATCCTGTTTGCAAATTTGCAAGACAGGTATGAATCTGCAGAACATTCTATTTTGTTTTTCAGCAAACTAGTTGCCAACATTTAAAAATCAGAAGAATTTACACAAAAATTCCAAATTCTAGGTGATCTTGAAAAATCAGATGATGAAGTACTATAAGATCTGCATTCCCAAAGTGCAACAAATGGCTGGAGCTGATTCTCAGACATTCTTTTACATAGGGCAGGTGTCCTCCTTGCTACTCCCTATAGCATCAATTGGTCCTTTTTTTTTTTTTTTTTTTTTTTTTCTTTTTCAGATGGAGTCTCACTCTGTTGCCAGACTGGAGTGCAGTGGCGCGATCTTGGCTCACTGCAACCTTCACCTCCTGTGTTCAAGCGATTCTACTGCCTCAACCTCCAAAATAATGGGACTACAGGCACATGCCACCATGCCCAGCTAATTTTTGTATTTTTAGTAGAGACGGGGTTTCACCATGTTGGCCAGGATGGTCTTGATTTCCTGACCTCGTGATCCACCCACCTCAGCCTCCCAAAGTGCTGGGACTACAGGCGTGAGCCACTGTGCCTGGCCGCTTCATTCTTTCATGTCCTGCTTGATCCTTATAAGCTTCAAAGTTTATAATACCTCCCCAAGACAAAGAACAGACTACGTGTCTAATTTATTCATCCAAATAACTCAAAATACAATTCAAAATCAGCAATGACCACATTTAAAAACAAAAATGAGCCGACTAACCTTTTAGTCCCCTAGTAAATGTACCTTCTGCAGGAGGAATAATGAAATCCATTTCCTTTGTATTCTCCGTTTTCACAGATTACTTCTATAATTCTCAAGAGAAATTCGAGAAGAAGATGTATGTCCTAATGCTGCTGCCACATTTTCACAGCCAGTAGAAGCTAAGGAAACCATGTTTAATGATTTTTCTCTTGTTAAATAGAAAAACACAGGTAGGGCCTTAACCGCCATGGTAACTATTGGGTGCTATAGTCCCTAGGGCTTCTCCATTATGGCAACTCTGTGGGGCATCAGACACCAACTTCAATGTCATTTTTCTGCCAGACATGGTGCATGCAGGCCAGAGCACCCAAGCCTTAGTCGGGAACACTGTAATATTGTTTTCATTTCTATTTTCTAAGACAAATTGAGAGTTTGACCAAGTAATGTCACCAAAAAAAAAAAAAAAAAAAGAGTATTTATTTTTCTCTGGAATTTGGCAATTTGTTTGCTGCATTTATAGTCATCATCAACAGTGAGACAAAAGAAAAAAGCAGGAGTTAATTAGATGAGTACTATTACTGCAGACATTGGGGACCTAGGGAGCTTAATAAGCCCAACTTCTTTAATTTACGAATGGCAAAACTGAGGCCCAAGGAGATAGACATTTACTGCTCAAGACCACTCAGCTTTTTAAGACAGAGCTCAGAAGTTCTATTTCATTTTTAGCCACAAGGAACTTGAGACACACTTGGGTTGAGTAAGTGCTGACCAGAACAAGGCACATATATGAGAAATAAGGAAGAGCTGAAACACTTGGCCTCCAGTGCAGTAGGGCCCAGAAAGTGGATCTGTACATGAAGTTCCTCCAGATACATCAGCAATAGGGGTTTGAAGACTTTTGCTCATTCATCTGATGCTCCACATACTGTCCTTTCTCTTTCTCTTCCAACACATGTCATGTTCCTCCCTAGGATATTCGTTGTTGGGTGAATACCTAGCATCCTCTTTTTATGCTTTAGGGACAACCCAGTCTTTTTTTGTGAATTTCTTTCCCACATGGTAGGGAGACACAATGAGGCTGATAATCAGTTTCTTCTGCTGTCTCTTGAGAGCAGTATGGGCATATGACCTAAGCTAGGCCGACTGAACTCTTATTCTCCCACCACCACCACCCCAGACAATGAGTCTTGAGTAGAATGATGCAAAGACGGGAAAACGTAGGTGGGGGTTCATTCATATCAACATAGTGAAGCAGTCCTGGTACGACCATAGTTCTTGTTACTCCATAGCTACTCCACACCTGCCCTGTGTCCTTTCCTTTTCTGAGCCTGGTTCTCCTATCTATCTGTCTATCTATCTATCTATCTATCTATCTATCTATCTATCTATCATCTGTCTATCTACTTACCTACCTATCTATTTAGAAACAGGGTATCACTGTCACCCAGGCTGAAGTGCAGTGGCATGATCACAGATCACTGCAGCCTCAACCTCCCGGGCTCATGCAATCCTCCCCTTCAGCCTCCCAAGTAGCTGGGACTATTTCTGGCAAAATTTTGTATTTTTTGTAGAGGTAAGGTTCCACCATGGTGCCCAGGCTGGTCTCGAACTCCTGAAATTAAGTGATCCTGCCCACCTCAGTCTCCCAAAGTGCTGGGATTACAGCCATGAGCCATCACACCCAGCCAACCCTTCCCTTTTATTTTGCAGACTGTTTTATATCTTTCTAATGAATTTCTTTTCCCTTAAGGCTTGGCCATAATGAGTTTCCTATATCCAAACAATCTACACCAATAACTTGTGTTAGATGTTTGTCTGCCTGCACAGAGTTTCTGTTTCTTCATGGTGGTTGTTCTCTGGTACTTTTAGCTTGTCCATGGTTCATCATGGCTTTCCAAGCCTCAAATATAGCCATGAGTATTAAACCTTAGTGTAGGTAACAGGGAGCATGTGTCAACCATGAGTCAGAAATCTGGACCTGGAGTCTTAGAATCTGCACTTTGATAAGTGCAGGTGATACCTAAAATATGCTGCTTTATATCATGCACTCAGCATTTGTTCCCACTCTGCTGACTGCCTTCTTGTCTCCCTATTTCCCAGTTCATATTCCTGCAAGAGGAGGTTGGCTGGCCCAAGCCTTCTTCACCATTCCAGCCCAACCAGCCCAAGGAATAGGGCGGGTGCCCACAAGAGGTCCAAATGGCCATGAGATGCGGCACAGTCACATGGACCACATCAAGTTGCCCCAAATACGGTCTGTGATATGATCTTACTCACAAGAGGCTAGGTGGCAGGCAATGCATTTGATGCCACAAGATCTGTGAATAAGAGAGCAGGTCCCTGACTACCTTTCCAATCATTCTTTCTCCTACCACCCTCTGTTCAGAAGATCTCTACAACTTGATTCACTCTTTAAAAATAAGATCCAAGAGCTAATAAAATTTGTTTAAATGAACAATTCTCCTATCTAGGAGGTACAGACTTCTAATAAATAATCGGTAAGCTGATTACTAACCACTGGTATTCTCTTATTAATCACTTTAATTACCACCTCCTGAATCTTCTATGCAGCAAAACTCAAAAAACTCTGCCTCTTTGAAGAATGATAAGGCTTTTGTGTGGAGCCCCAAACTTCTTTATAGAAACATTAGCTCTTAGAGTACAAGAGTAGGTCTCCTTTTTAAAAAAACATATAACCAAAAAAGCCCAAGCCTACAAAGATTATAAATGAGAAAAAAAATCATTTTTTTGAATTTTTTTTAAATCTATCATATGAGGTTACTTAAATTTCCTCTACGTGGGTAAGTTCATTTACTTGTTTCTTCCTGGAATCAATATATTTGAAGGCTTGCTATGGAGAGGCACTTGGCTAGGAACACAAGATGTTTGAGATATGCTCTTTGCTCTCCAAGAACTCACAGTCTAGGGGTGAAGATACATATAGTAAAAGAGCAAACAATAATACACCATTTGAATTGATGTACAAATATATAAATACAGTGTTATGAGCGTAGAGAGAAGGAAAAAGTCACTTCGTGAAAGCCATTTGAACTACATCTGAGAAGATCAGCAAGGTAATAAGATGAGGAGAGTGGAGGCCAATTAAGGTAGATCCAATTGTCAGAGCAAAGCCATAGAAGTGAAGGATGTGGACATTAGAATAATCAAGGGGAAGGATGAGTTCAGAAACTGTTGCTACAAAATATTTTACGCTGAAGAAATTCGGGAAAAAAGAAAAACAGGAAGGTCACTCTGACCTTCTCCCACCCTTCTCCTCTAAGGAGCTCATTCAAGAGATGCCTTTTCTTTACTTCTAAGAAAGAAACATCTCTTTCTTTCATCTGAAGATAGAGACACAGAGAAGAATCTAAAGAAATAGGTCTTGCTAAGTCCTCCCCCTCCCCCAGTTTATTACCATTCGATCATATACTTTTTTACCAATCATACTTCTCTACGACTATCCACTTCTTTATCAAAAACCTAAGCATTAAAAAATACACAGAGTTATCTGCTTCTTTGCGTCCCTATTCCCTTATGAAGACTCTCATGTTACATCAAATCTATATTGGATAAATGTGTGTGCTTTTCTTTTGTTACCCTGTCTTTTGTTATAACAGGAGCCTAGTGATGGGTGAATAAAAGATATTTCTCCTCCTATACAGGAACATGAGAATACTGGACAGCAGGATAGAAGTTGGTAAGACGGCCATGAAGGACCAATACATTTCGGAAATGAAGAACCATTGAAAGTTTGTGACCCACTGACTACTTTCAAGAAATAACTTTGAGAAGGGATTAGAGGATGGTTTGAGAAAGGAGAACCTGGGGACAAAGTGACCATACAGGAAACTGCCTTAAGATCAGAAGAGAGATTTGTAGAAGCTGGGATAGGGAGAAGGGAATTGATTTCAGGGATATTTCAGAGGCAAAAAGACTGAATTTGGTTGCAGAATCTCATAGTGGTGAACAGAGCTTTGGAGTTGGATGAACCTGAATGTAAATTACAGCTCTGCCATTCACTAAGTGTGTAACACTGCAGATGTTACCTCATCTCTCTGAGTTTCGTATTTCTCATCTTTAAAATGGAAATAGTGTTATCAAGAGAGGATTAAATAAGCTAATGGTGTGAAGTACTTAGTATAAATTAAGGATCAACATAAAGTGAATGCTCAACAAATGTTAGCTAGTATTTTTACTATCGTTGTTATTATTGGTATTATAATGAATAATTGATGGAGAGAAGGGAATAGGAAATAACTCTCTAGCTTAGAAGTCTGGTAAATGATGATACCATTAACAGAGATAGGCAATAACTATAATAGCTAGCATCTACTGAGAGTTTACCACATACCAGGCAGGATTCTAAGAGGTTCACGTACAAAATGTCCTTTACTCCTCAGAGAATCCCAGATGTTATTATTATCCACAGTTTACAGAGGCAAAACTGAAGCATAGAAAGCTTAAGCAGCTTGGGTCACACAGCTAAGAAATAAAGAAACACAGGCACTTCCAGAGCCTGCGTCACCTCCACTCTACACAGAAGAAGGCAAGAGAAGTTCCAGGATGCGCTAAAGGGAAGGTAAGAGGAGAGAAGTTTGCGTAGTTAGTTTGAGTTTAATGTGGTCAGAAACACTTAAATGGAGTAGTGTAGTAATAAAGTTGGAAATGTAGGCATGTTCTTAAGTCATTTTTCTTCTCAAATGGAAGACCAAGGAACAGAAAACCCAAGACAGCAAATCATAAAGATTGATCATCTAATAGAAGACTGATCAGAAATGCAGAAGTGTCTCAAAAAGTACTCCAGAGAGAAAATATGACTAGAATGATATAAGTTTGATTTCCATGCAACTTCTTAGGAAGCAATCCCTGTGTGAAGCAGGAAAGTCTCTGTATTACTCCATTCTACTGATATTTTCGCCCCCAATGTAAACCATGAGATACACGGTCAGAGTCCTAGTGTGCTTCCTTAAGTATCACTATTTCCATGAAATAAAAGGGACACCAGGAATTTTCCTTCTGGGGATGTCATCAGGAGGTTTCAGATGGCAGAGAAAGGGAGCATGTGGCTTCCCTACCAAGGGCTTTATCATGAGCTTTTGGGAAATCTGCAGCTGGCATGCCCAATGTGGTTCTGAACCACAGCGCTCACTTGGCAGCCCCTTCTGAGGGAACATCCAGATTCAGTGAGCCTTCCTGCTGAGTGATTTTTGCCCCTGGGCATTCTCCTTCACAGAGCACTCACTGAAAGCTGCAGGGAAGTTGAGCATCTCAGCTGCTAGTCCCAGAAGCTTGACTGATAAATTCCTGCCCATCCTGAACTTGTCTTTATTCTTTAACCCCCAAGCATTTTGCTTCAGTCTTCTACAGGAATATCCTTTTGCAACTACCTCTGGTATCTGAACTGTTTTCCTGTAGGGTGGATATCATCTGGATTATCTGCCCAGTCCACGACTTACTTACCCTTTCTGAGGCTGCACATGCATGCACACACACACACGCGCCCACGCACACACACACGCACGCGCGCGTGCGCGCACACACACACACATTCCTCTGCAAAGTTTGTACCAAATAAACCCATTCTCCAGTTCTGACTGGACCATGGATGTACATATGACCCAAGATCCATCAATCAGATTCTCTCATCTGGACATTTGAATTCTCTGAATGGTGTGAGCTGATCACACCATTTTGAGGAGTTCCTTTTGGCGTAAATAGATAGATAGATACAGAAAGCAGATGGCCAGGGAGCTCCACATCCTCATTCCAGTCCCTTATAAGACCTAACTGCACGTACTGCTTTTACATTCTATCCTATACCCCTGTATTTTTTCAACGTTACCTCTTTTTGAATTAAATTAGTTCGAATCAGTATCTATTACTTGTAACCTAAAGAGCCATCACTAAGACATGCAGTAAATAATTTTGCACAAATGCAAATATTGCTGGGAATGTCACTCTCTAAAAGCCCAAGATAAGGCAGAAGTAAGCATTTTCTCACTAAATAAATGTTCAGCCAAAATAACAATGATGATGATAAACTGAATTGTTTATACCTTTTATGTTTTGAAGTGTGCCTACTAGTTTACGTTATTCAGTCAGGAAAGTTAGGACTGCATTAAAGATCCTGTCTGTAGATGATGAAACTGAAACATAGAAAAGCACTGTGATCCTTCCCAAGTGAGGCCTCTCTTCTTTCATCAACGTAGATCTTCTGTGTATTCATGTTTGGAATACATGGTTTGAAGATTTATGGTGTTATTTGTGATGGATAATTGAGATGGAAGGAACATTGATTTTGAAAAGCTAATCATCATTTGATGTTTTCTTTTTTGAAAGTAACATAGAAAGCTGAATTCCTCTGAATCTGCTTACTGTGAGAATAACACATATTCAAGTTCTCCTTTGGAGAGTAGTTGTCAATGTTGTCAGAGAACAGAGCTATCCTTTAATATGCAAGATTATTGGCTACACAAAATTCAGAGTGTGAAAAATAAGCATTCTGTTCATAATACATTTGCAAAAGCACAAGACTGTATGTATTGTATTTTTACTATTTTTTTTTTACTTTGATGATACATAGACGTAATGCTGCACCTCCTAACTCAATAAGCTGTTTTCAAGTGGTTTCTCTCTACCCACCAACTTCCCCTCCCTACTGCTCTGGGCTTTGGTAACACTTGATATTTTTATGCTTGCCTGCTTCTGTCTCAATGCATATGTTACATCAATATCTGTTTGGCCATACTAAGCTGTGAACTTATTAAAAGCAGGAACTCTGTCCTTTGTCTCTGTATTCTTTCTCAGCACCTCCTACAACATCTAGTACCTAAGGAATTATTGGCTGTTTACTGAATGACCAAAAAGTGAACATATACCATCTACCCAAATAGACCATAGATGATCTCTAGCACGAAGAGTGGATCACCTTAGACTTTCTGGATATCAATTCTTGTTTATTAAATAAGTACATGTTCTTTCACTCATGAAATACATTTATGCTAAATGCTATGAAGAGAAGAATAGAAACAAAGTATCAGACATTATTCTTACTTTGACAAAGGTTACAGAGAAAATACTTACACAAAACATGTCATGGCAGTTATCGTCGTTGTCATTATCGTCTTCATCATTAGCCTACTTATTGATCATGTATTATTTGTCAGGTACTGCGTTGTTTGTTACATGCTTTTCATTTAATTATCACAAGTTCTTATAGGTTACATGCTATTACTATTCCCATTTTTATAGATTAAGAACTGAGGTTCACAGAGTTTTAAGTAATGTGCTCAAAGTCACGTAACCAACAAGTGGAAGAATGAAGTTTCAAACTCAAATCTGCTCATGTCTAGAGTTCATACCTATCCAGATGCCAGAAAGCTATACCAACACTAAATATACTAAGAGGTAAGTCAAGGGAGAAAGCAATGAGACAAGATCAAGAAATTCTTGATAGGTCTCAGAGGATTTCAACCTGAGCATCTTTACCCAGACATAAGGCATATATGGTACAATTACAGCAGCTCTATGTAGTTTTTCAGCAAAGTCGTTAAGTGAAAATACAATACTGTTTCTATAATATTGGAAAGCTTGATGATGAGCCAAACTTACTGCTGAAAGTTAAATGGGAAGGCTCCCAGGCATCGTGGCAGAGAACGGGGCAGGACTTGCTGGGATTTATTGTTCCCTGAGGAGAGCAGCAGCCCCAGCACCACTAATCAGATTATACATCAGCAGAGTAATCACTGTTGACTCTTCCAGACACAGAAAGACAAACAAGTGGCTTGAAAGTATACAAAAGCAGAGGCCTGTAAGCTCCCTCATCTCGCACAAGAGAGCTGTGAATCACCTCGGTAAAGGATTCATCATCGTTAGGTGTCACCCGGGTCACAGCAGAGGTGTTAAGTTGTATACAGAATGGCTCACAGCAAAGATACAAAAGGCAGAAGCCAAGAAGAATAGAGGTGCTAATAACATTGAAAAACTATTAGTGGGAGTGAAGTCTCTTCATGGGCATGTTTCCTTGAATGATATGGATTGGAGAGAGCTCTGAATCTGGAGTCTAGAAACCTGAAATTTAGTCCCAGTTCTGCCAATAACTACCCTGTAGGATTTTGCTGAAATGCTCTGAGCATTCATTTCCCCATCTTTCAAAAAATGGCATACCTCATTTATTGCATTTCATATTATTTTCATTCCAAAATAGTGCTTTTCTTTTTTTTTTTTTTTTTTTTTGCAAATTGAAGGTTTGTGGTAACCCTGCATCCAGCAAGTCTATCGGCACAATTTTTCCAATAGTATGTACACACTTCATTTATCTGTGTCACATATTGATAATGCTCAAAATACTTCAAGCTTTTTCATTATTATTATATTTGTTATAGTGACTTGTGACCGGGATCTTTGATGTTACTATTATAATTATATTGGGGCCCATATCAGATGGCAAACTGTATCCATAAATGTTGTGAACTGTTCCACCAACCAGCCATTCTTCCATCTCTCTCTTGGGGACTCCCTATTCCCTGAGACATAATACTACTGAAATTAGGCCAATTAATAACTCTACAATGGGCTTTAAGTGTTCAAGTTTGAAAGAAAGAGTTGCATGTCTCTTACATTAAATCAAAAGCCAGAAATGATTAAGCCTAGTGAGGAAGGCATGTAGAAAGCCAAAATGGGCCAAAAACTGGGCCTCTTGCACCAAACAGCCAAGTTGTAAATGCAAAAGAAAAGTTTTCAAAGAAAATTAAAATTGCTCCTCCAGTGAACACATGAATGGTAAGAAAACAAAAGTCTTACTGTTGATATGGAGAAAGTTTGAGTGATTAAACCAGCCATAACATGCTCTTGAGCCAAAGCTTAACCCAGAGCAAGGCCCTAACTCTCTTCAATTCTTTGCGAGCTGAGAGAGGTGAGGGAGCTGCAAAAGAAAAGTGGGAAATTAGCAGAGGTTGGTTCATGAGGTTTAAGGGGAAAAAAGCCATCTCTATAGCATAAAAACGTAAGCAGAAGTTACAGCAAGATATTCAAAGGATCTAGCTGAGATCATTAAGGAAGTCACTAAACAGTGTATGGATTTTCAGTGTATACAAATCAGCTTTCTGTTGGAAGAAGCCATACAGGGATTTGATAGCTAGAGAGCAAAAGTCAATGCCCGGCTTTAAAGCTTCAAAGGGCAGGCTGACTCCCTTGTTAGGAGCTAATGCCACTGGTAACTTCAAGTTGAAGCCAATGGTCACTGACCATTTCCAAAATCCTACTGCCCTTCATCTAGAAATGAAACAAGAAAGCTTAAATGATAGCATATCTGTTTTCAGCATGGTTTGGTGAGTATTTTAAGTCCACTCTTGAGACCTACTGCCCAGAAAAAAAAATCCTTTGAAATATTACTCCTCATTGACAATGTTACCTCAGAACTCTGATGGGGATGTACAAGGAGATGAATGTTGTTTTCCTGCCTGCTGACACAGCCACCATTCAGCAGCCCATGGATCAATAAGTAATTTTGACTTTCAAGTTTCATAAGAAATATATTTGGTAAGGCTATAGCTGCCATGGATAGTGATTCTTCTGATGGACCTTGGCAAAGTAAATTAAAAACCTTCTGGAAATAATTCACCATGCTAGATGTCATTAGGAACATTTGTGGCCAGGAACAGTGGCTCATGTCTGTAATCTCAGATCTTCGGGAGGCCAAGGCAGGTGGATCCCTTGAGCCCAGAAGTTTGAGACCAGCCTGGGCAATATAGGGAGACTCCATCTCTATAAAAAGTTTTTTAAAAAAAAGTCAGGTGTAGACCCAGCTACTTGCAAGGATCACTTGGGCCCAGTTGAGGCTGCAGTAAGCCATAAGCATGACAGTGCACTCCAGCCAGGGGAAACAGAGCAAGACTCTGTCTCAAAAAAAAGAAAAATAATAATAATAATAGTATGATTCATGGGAGGAAGTAAAAATAGCAACATTAACAGAAGTTTGGAAGAAGTTGATTTTAACCCTCATGAATAACTTTGAGGGGTTCAAGACTTCAGAGGAAGAAGTAACTGCAGATATGGTAGCAACAGCAAGAGAATTAGAATAAGTGGAGCCTCAAGATGTGCCTGACTTGCTGCAGTCTCATGATAAAACTTCAATGAATGAGCAGTTGCTTCTTATGGTTAAATAAAGAAAGTGGTTTCTTGACCTGGAATCTACTCCTGGCGAAGATGCTGTGAAAATTTGTTGAAATGACAACAAAGGGTTTAGAAAATTCTATAAACTTTGTTGATAAGGCAGCAGCAGGATTCGAGAGGATCAACTCCAATTTTGAAAGAAGATTTACTGTGGGTAAAACCCTATCAAACAGCATGGCATGCTATGGAGAAATCTTTCGTGAAAGGAAGAATCCATCAAGGAGGCAAACTTCATTGTTGTCTTACAAAATTGCTGCAGCCAGCCCAAGCTTCACCAAACACATTCTGATCAGTCAGCAGCTATCAACATCAAGGCAAGGCCCTCTGCCAGCATAAAGATTACTACTCACTGAAGGCTCAGCGATGATTGGTAGCATCTTTTAGCAATATAGTATTTTTTAATTAAGGTATTTACATTGTTTTAGACATAATGCCATTGCACCCAAATAGACTACAGTATAGTGTAAACAAAACTTTATATGCACTGGGAAACCAAAACATTCATATGACTTGTTTTATTGCTATATTCTTTATTTATTTATTTATTTATTTATTTATTTTGTGGTGAGGTGGTGATCTGGAATCAGCCAGCAATCTCTCCAAGCTATGCCTGTAAGTGGTTTTCTGATTAATCCTTTTATTTCTTATATCTTTAAAAGCTCAATTGATTACAGGTGCAAGCCTGTTATTTATGGAAATTGTGATAGATTGAAAATCAGCACCCCTGGGTTTACCACCTGAGAAATTTCCTTCCCTTCCCTGAGCCTCAGTGACCTGATTTCTAAAATAAAAACATTTTATTAAGTGACCTCCAAAGCCTGTTTTAGCTATTGGAGTCCCTGAATCCACATTTTTTAAATCTCACAATATGAACTTCTATAAGAAATAACATAGGTGATTGTTTTCATTCTAAGAAAAAGAAGCATTTTTCTGCTCACCTAGGAGTCAAATGGAAGTAAAATTTTGAAATAAAAACACCAGAAAGATAGATCTGGTTCAGACGATATTAACCAATCTATGTCCTTACCCACAAGGGAAATGTATGAGCTGGATTTTTACAAGCAGAAACAGAAATAATATATCTAAAACTTCCTGTTGAGAATGCAAATGCAAATCCAGGTTTTCTGGCTCAAGTTCAGCTGTGCAGAGTCACCAAGGTTAAAGCTACTGAAAACTTCACGGGCACTAACTCAAGCATAATGACGATGTAAATAATAGCATTTCTTTATCCCACTGTCTCCTTTCCCAATACATGGTAATATTATGTTTGTTTGTACATATGTGTATTTAAAGCATACCTCAGTAACTCTGACTGACAGATTTTGGCAGTGCTCTGTGACAGACACCAGGGGAGATGTATGTTAAAGTATCCAAGTGAATTTTCAAACAGACTATTCAGTAGGAAAATTCAAGATTTATGCACCATCTCCACATCTGTGGGAAGCAACATTCACTCAATAGTTAAGTCAGAATACCAGCTACTACTAAAACAATTCTAATTTTGAGAATAATATTTTTAAACATTTTTTAAAGCAGTGGTATCATCAGAAACTTGAGATACCTAGCATTTATGGAGATTCCCATGGGCCATGCAGTGTGCCAAGCACTATCTAAGCAAACATGCATGACCATCATCCATTTAGATGGCTGATGTAAACTTATTCTCACTTTAAAGGTACAAAACTGAAATCAGGAGGGGATTTGCCCCAAGTCACACATGTACTCAGCTTCAGGACTGGCTTTTGAG
Source organism: Homo sapiens (assembly GCF_000001405.40). Taxonomy (NCBI): domain Eukaryota; kingdom Metazoa; phylum Chordata; class Mammalia; order Primates; family Hominidae; genus Homo; species Homo sapiens. The sequence continues at coordinate 155,880,108 of NC_000005.10, read as the reverse complement.
CCAAGGTGTGGCTAACTTCAGAGCTCTTAAATTCTGCATAGTGGCTGCGCTCTTGAAGTTCTTGCAGGCCTGCTATTTAGTCACTAGACAAATATGGATGATTTACTGCAAAACTCCCCCAATCCAGCTTCTTCAGCTGGAACACAGAAACAAAAAATAACAATAAAATCTTTTTGTCTTTCTTACTATAAAGGACAACATAAGATACTAAGATCTAAATTAAATCAAACTACACCATGCCTACAACAATGGAGGCAAGCCAAGTTCCATTTTCATGCCTCGATTTTCTCATCTATCAAGTGGTTAAAACTGCCTTAGAGAGGTGTGGTGAGAATAACGTTTTTAATATGAAAATCTTTGGAAAGTTTTGAAAACCTTTATGATGTTATAATTATGTTAATTACTTTCATTATCATTTAAACATAATAAGATATCATGTAGTAGTTTGAGAGGAAAAACAATGCCTTTTCTCCATATATTTTATTTTTAAGTTATCTTCCTTCAAACTGCATCTTATACAATTAGGCTTTTTAGAAGCCTGAAAAATTACTTGTTACAAGAAAGAATACTTGCATCCAAAGGAAATTGTGTGGTTACTCAATCATTCCAACCACCTATCTTTGAGGGGTAAATTTGGAGGAGACAACGCTATCCAGGGAAGTTGTCAAGAACGTTTTCAGTCAGCATCATTTTGGCTCTGAGGGTGGTAGGACCAGCAATGCCTCATCCACGAAGCAGTGACACAGATGGGAAGCATGAAGATCTGGCTGCACGAAAAGTGAAATCACTCTAGCGTACAAAATGCATTACAGTTTTATAAATATATTTTGCTGTTTTATATATGTAATTAAATACAGGCCACATTCATGAGTTTTAACTTTGAAATTTACAAGGAATAGGACATTTGATGCTTAGAATGAAAAGTTCATAGGTTTTGGCTAAGAGCCAGGTAATCTTTCTATGGCATGGCAAGCGGGCAATTACTAAATTCAGTCTGTCTAGCCTCCAGTCCAAATACTTTTTTTTTTTAAGTGTGCAGATGTGGTGCCTGATCACAGCTATTTCCTCTTGAGTACTGACTGAATTTCACTCTGTGGTATGAAATGTAAATCTTCACAATGTTAAACTTACTCATAAAAATTCAGACTCAGTTTTATTTGTTAGCAGACGCTAACAAACAAAGCCAAGTGAAACTAGCTAGAAGTAGCAAAGATTAACAAGTTTGGTTTAAATAACGAAATAAAGCTCAATATTGAATTTGTTTCTTGCCTCCCCAAATGTGACAGTCCAATTTTATATATACTCACATGAATAGTTTATTCTATTGGATATGAAAATAGTGCCAACGATGTTATATGGGTTAACAAAATCTGAGTTCTGGGCAACCGTGTGACAGACACCATTGGCTGGCAATCTAACAGTCATTTCTCCCTTTCTTCCTTGCTAAGAGAATCCCAATTTGTCCAACCTCCTTTGGGTGACCACATCCTTCAGGGAGGCTGGGTTATTCCAAAAAGTCTTGAGTATTCTTATCAAGGTAGTTTTATTATCCTAGGCAAATTAACTGCTTTAGGCTTAGACTCGTGACCCAATTTTTGCCAATATGATATAAAGTACAGTCTGTTTGGGGACTTCTAGAAATGTCTTCCCATTCTAAATAAAGGAAAAAAAAAACTGGATGTCCCCATTTTCTAATTGGTCACCACTGTCTGGGCTGCTGCTTTGAACTGTTTTCAACTTTGGTAGCTCACGTAAGAGGACAAGCCAACATGCTAAGAAGGGTAGAGAGGAAAAATGGAAAGAGAGTTAAGCCTAAGAGCTAAGTCTATGATTCAAGCCACTGAACTGTTGGATTAACTAACTTTGGAACCTAACTCTAAACTTATTATAGGATGAGATAATAGATATTCCTGCAGGTTATATCACTTTTTTGTTGTTGTTGTTTTTCTGTAATTTGCAGTCAAACACATCCTGTTATATACTTCCACCCTCAAATTTAAAATTCCAGTTCTGCCATAAGCCCACTACTGAAAAATAATGCAGTCACCCACACTAATGGCTCCTTCCCTCTGTGTTATATCATTGGGGAAGAAACTGGGTCATAGGAGATACAGTTCTTTCAGCAATTTTACTTTAACTGCTAAACAAAAAGTGGGGCTGACTTTATTAAGTTTTCAGGAAAGACAAATGGTATGAGACAGAGTTTGACCTTAACATGTAATTTCTGCATACTGACCCTTTCCTATAGTCATAATGCATATTATCATATTGAAGGCTCTGATAAGTCTTGCAGCAATAAGATTTAACTTTATTGCACTTATCAGGGTTTGTTTCCCAAACATATTTAGACAAAGAACTCCTTTTTATTCACATAAAACTTTGATCAAGCAGAATAAATGCCCCTCAAAACACATTTTGAGAAGCATTAATTTACTATAAGAATTTTTACTTAAGTACATTGGGACAAAATGTAGTGAAGAAACTTCACCATTTAAGCTTGACTGTTTGTAGAAAAATGTTTTAAAATGAGAACAGCTACCAACTGTTGAGTGCTTACTCTGAACTGGGCACTGTCATAACCTCTTTAACTTACCAAGTACAGATACTGTTAGGAACCTCATTCAATATGTGAGGAAAATGAGGCACAGGGAGAAAGGCCCTATTACTCCAGATATAAACTGCTCACATTGTCCATATTTGCAAGAAGGAAGAACTTTATCTTAAACTTCAAACTAACATCCAAATCCTATTGCTAGACAAGTATTCTTCACACTCATTTAAGTTGGCCATGAGTAACTTGGCAAACCCTATCAGACGACCATGCCTGGGAATTCAGTCTAAACCGTCATCTTAAAACCTGGGCTTACGGATGTGGCCATTTCGGTATGATTTGGAAACATTTCTAATTAAAGACACAGTTGGACTGAATTTAATCCTAGCACAAACAGCTACCACCCTCTTCTTGTAGCATTTGCATTTTTAGAAATCCTCTGGGCTTTAATTTTTTTAAGGCCCATAAGACTTCAGTAGATCTTTCACATATAAAAGATAGCTGATGTTTAAAAGGTTTCTCAGCATGTCAGTACAACCATAAGTTCCTTGAAGATAGGGAATGTATTCCAAAATGCTGAGGATATAGTGGGCATAAAAATGAGTATTTATCAGTTGGTTTCTACTGTGCCATGTTCTTATCAGCCTTTCTAATTAGTATATTTTAAACCTAATATTTTCACATGATTGTCATGTAGAAATACATCTTCTCATTGAAGCACAGTGAAGGTCATAAAATAAAGGCAGAATATCCTTGTACCTAGAATGCTTTAAAATATTTTTCATAGTTTCTTATTTGTCACTTGGCTAACAATCAAGTAACGAAATGCCATTTTAATGCCCTAAGTAAACCTACATAGACAAACACTATGATAGAGAGGGGCATTTGGGCATGGACTTAGATGATCACAAATAGAGAATATCAAGGAAGAAACGCAGCTAAGCTTTAGATGAAGACACTATAACCCTTACAAATACAGTATTTGCTTCTAAGGTCAAAAGGTTTGGCCTACGAAGTGCATTATTTTTCACATTAAATTCCAACATTCTCCTTCCCACAAAGTGTTGATTTGAGGCACTTTAGAAGGAAGGTAAATTTCTTATAAATATAACACAACCACTTCCATTCATGTGGTGCTTTGCAATGTGTTTTGCATTTATTTTTTATTTTTAAAAAGTGTCTTACTGTTCCAAAATGGAAAGATATACAGATATTCTTGTATTGATGTTATTTCAAATATAGGTGGAGATAAAGAAGGCTCTTATCTACGTAAGCTTCAAAACAACTTTGAACAATGAGATCACATGGACACAGGAAGGGGAATATCACACTCTGGGGACTGTGGTGGGGTGGGGGGAGGGGGGAGGGATAGCATTGGGAGATATACCTAATGCTAGATGATGAGTTAGTGGGTGCAGCGCACCAGCATGGCACATGTATACATATGTAACTAACCTGCACAATGTGCACATGTACCCTAAAACTTAAAGTATAATAAAAAAAAATAAATAAAAAAATAAAACAAGAGGACCAAGAAAAAAAAAAACAACTTTGAAAATTAAGCTGAAGGCTAAGGGTACAGTGGAGATGAACAGACCCAATTTGCACAGGGTGTTAGGTATGTCTTCAATTTTTATTTGCTCATCAGTCCTCGAAATATCACAATGATATGCACTGTTACAAAGCTACAATTCTACAACTCTAGCAGGTCCTCCAAAAGGTGTCATCATTATACCTGTACAACAGAAGTATTGCTCACAGCAGTGGGTATCAGGAGATTTCACTCGCTCCTCAAAAGAACATGGCAGAACTGTCACAGGAATGTCAGATGCTTTTGCCTCTGACCCAGGCAGTTACTATTAAGGCTATAAAGAGGGGGTAAAAATACCATAACAACTAAAAAAAAAAAAAAAGTGGAGCCATCTTGAAAATGTGAATTCTATCTAAAAATAATAAATTGAAATGCCTTTAAATTGTCACAGCTTCGTGCAAGGCCGATGAAGACCTAGAGAAACATCACAAGTTTTACATGAGTCCTTAACAGCAGATGTGCCAGGTTGCTGAGTTTGATGTAAGTTCCCCAAATAAAATGCTCTGCAAAGTATTCATGTCTATCATCTTCATTTATGCTATTATTAAAATATTTGTTGAGCTATAACTGACATATGTGAAACTGCATATATTTAACAAGTATAGTTTTAGAAGTTTTGACCTATGGAATTAATTCTACCTATGGAATTACTTAATTAATTCTACAAGGAGGATGATGAACATATCCATCAGACCTAAGAGTTTACTTGTACCTCCTTCCAACCTAGGCAACCACTGACATGACATGTTACTATGGGTTAGCTTGCATTTTCTGAGATTCTATATAAATGGGCTTATACAATACGTATTTACTTTTTGTCTGGTTTCTTTCACTCAGCATCATTTTGAAATTCCTCCATGCTATTGCTTGCATCAATAGTTTGCTTTAGTGCCAAGCAGTTTTCCATTGTGTGACTATATCACAATTTGTTTATCCATTCATCTGTTGCCGGCCATTTTTTTTCCCAGTTTTGGCTATTACAAATAAAGCTGCAGTGAATATTCATCTACAGTTCTTTTATGTGGACATACGCTTTCTTTACTCTTGGCTAAATACCTAGGAGGACAATGGTTGGATAATAAGTGATTTTAAGTTTAACTTCTTCGAAAACTGTTAAACTGTTTTCCAAAGCAGTGGTAGCATTTTGTATTGTCACTAGTAGTGAGTGAGACTTCCATTTGCTCCACATACTCACCAATACCTGGTATTTTCAGTTTCTTTATTTAATTTTGGCCTTTCTAGGGGTATGTGTTGGTATCTCCTTGTGGTTTAAACGTGCATCTCCCCCGGTGACTAATGACATTGAGCATCTTTTCTCATTTTCCATTCACGTTCATGTTCCTAGGTGAAATGTCTGTAAAAATCTTTGCCCCATTTTCATTGGGTTGCTTCTCTTTTTGAGTTACAAAAATTGTTCTCTTTTTTAATATAGCCTGGATACAAGTTATTTGTTTATATATGCTTTGCAAATGTTTTCTCCTCTTCTGTGCACTGACTTCATTTTTTTAACCGAGGCTTTTAGAAGAGCAAAAATGACTTCTTCCTTTATACTTTTGTGTTCTTTTTGTCATATTTTAAAGTCTTTGACAAAGTCAAAATTACTAAGATATTTCTCCTATTTTTTTCTTCAAACAGTTTCTAGAAATCCATTTGTTTCTGTTGTTGCTGCTGTTATTTTTAATACATGTCTGTACTCATACCATGGTAAGTTGTAAAAAAAGCTCTTTCCTTTCTTTCATATCACCTGAAAACTTGTTCTCTGTAATAGAGTTAGGCCAGAAGGTGATCTTCATTTTTTTAATAGGATGAGGAATTCTCCTATCCCCTTCTTTTGAAAAATTTACACAGAAAAAGAAGGGGGAAAAAGTGCAACATTGTATAAAACATGTATGGTCATAAAAATTGCTGCTGAATTCTAAGAAGCCCCCTGTTGATATGAGCAATGGTGTAAATGTTCAAAGAAGTCTATGGGATAGTGAACTGTTTCCCTGTAGTGTGTCAGGGCTATATAAAAATTGATCCTGGCTGAAAAGAAGGAAGATTTTAAAGATTAAAAATAGATGTCATATTAAATCTTCTGAGATGGTATTTAAAACTGAAGACTAAATAATTTAAAATTTTGGATAAGTTGTTTTCTGCCTTCCTTTTAGAAGTACTTTTCCCCCTGGTGAGTCATAAAATTATAACTGCAAAGTGGTATGCTTTTTTAACTTTTTGAGAGATATCCTCTTACTGAAATATAAAAATTATGTATGTGTTCTTTTGGTAATGACTTTTTCTTTTTAAAAAGTAATAGATTTAGGAAGCACAAGGGCAGTTTGGTTACGTGGATACACTGTGAAGTTGGGAAGTCTAGGCTTTGAGTGCAGCCATCACCTGAATAGTGTGCATTGTATCCATTAAGTATTATAATTTCTCGTCCCTCCGGCACCACCCTGGCACCCTTCCAAGTCTACATGTCTATTATTCCACTTTCTGTGTCCATGTGTACACATTATTTATCTGACATTTATAAGTGAGAACATGCAGTATTTGGACTTTCTGTTTCTGAGTTACTTCACTTAAGATAATGAGTTATTTCACTTAAGACAATGCAGTATTTAGGTTTTCTGTTCCTGAGTTATTCCACTTAAGATAGTTCCATTCAAGTGGCTGCATGTTAGTTTTTTAACTTTTTTTTAAAAAATGTATACTTTAAAAGAAGGATATTCTTACTGAAATATAAAAATTATGTGTGTGTTGTGGCTAACTAAAGTCATGCTGGAATGGTGGTAACTGGCTTGGACACCTACCAAATGAGGCTCAGGATTCTACTGGGGAGGGAGGGATCACCCTAGAATGCTTGAAACTACAGAAGATGCCCTTGGGGCACTGTAGCCTTGATCAGGTACCTGAAGGGGCAATAACTACATTGTGCCTTTGTCCAGGGTAATGACAAGGCTCTGATGAAGCTGCAAGTTCTTGGAGATCTGCCCAGACTAGCTTCTGTGAAGAGGATATCCAGTTTGTTTTGAGAAAGATGCCCTAGCCCTTTACACAACATTTTTTTAACACACGAAGTTTTGCTATAGGTTTGTTTTCTGATTATAAAAACACTTCAACTAACAACGAATGCTGGATCCCGACATTTTCCCAGACTATGACTATGTTATACACGTAAATCTTGCTCACACCAGACCAGTCATGTTTTCAATTTTAATGGCAGTCTACTAACAGACCAGGAAAAGTATTTCACAGCTATGTCAGTTAATTCCCTTGGTACAGCATCTGACATTCTATGGTTCTCAGTGAAGTACTTAATAAAAAATTTAGGGCAAACAGGAGGATAGCCAAGCTATTCAATAGATGGCAAAAGAAATGTACACAGTGTACATTACCATTTCCTTACAAAAGCATAGCATCCTTTAACTTTCACCTACAATTCTGGGAAAGAATTCTATTCAAAGTCACTTGGCTGTTGGCTGTCTCTTTAACAGCAATGTTATTGGATTTTTAAAAGTAAGTTTCTCACATTAAAATATTATTTAATGTCGGGGCACGATTTCAAAAATTTCAATAGGCTATAGAGTTTTCCATGAGAGTGTGTGTGTGTGTGTGTGTGTGTGTGTGTGTGTGCTGAAGAGAAGACAACACTTGAATTGCAAGGCATTGTGTCCTGAGCATTGTTTCACATTGATTTCACATATTATTTTATTTAATCCTCACAACCTCTCTGACTGTAGATATTCTTATTCTCTTTGTATGGATGGAAACTAAAGCTGTCGCAGGCATTACTCACCTAGGAAAGGGTAACTCATTAATTTCCTCTTCTTCTCTCTTAAGAAACTGCACCATCAGGTGCACAAAGCTGTTGGTGCTGGGAAAGGCAGACAGCCCTCCACCTTTCTCAGTAGCTGCCATGAATCCATTAACAAGTCCTGTTGCTTCAATCAAATGTTTGCTGCCCTTGAACACAACTGCCTGGCTCACATTATTTCTTGCCTTGGCAAACAGTCCCATTCTAACTGGACTTTCTACCTCTTGAGCTTCTCCTCTCCAACTCATCCTCCATGCTTCTCTATCTTTTTATGTCACAAATCTAACGATGTATTTCTTCTGTGTTTAAGCCTTGGATGGTTGCCACCTGTTGGCAGAATAATGACCTAACTCTTGTCAGCTTCACCTCCAGCCTTCACTGGCAAACCTCCTGTCACCAGCCATTCCTTAAACGTGTTCACTTCCAGATGGGAATTTTCCATCATAACTTATTTACCTACCCAATGCTCAATTCCCTCACATTTCTGTCCTCCTTTCAGTCTCCCCTCCATAACACAGTGCCTGCTACACCACTGATGCTCAAAAAGTAGCAATTCCTCCTCTTTTTACCTTCCCTGTTGCAGTCCCAGGACATTTTGCTCCCTAGCACTGGCCTACAGTCCAGTGAACAATGACAAGTGTTCACTTACCTGGCTCCCTAGGCAGACAGAAATCCCTATCCAGGCTTTTCTTACCATCTTTCCATTCATCTTACTACCTGGCATAAGGTCTGGTATGTCACAAATCTCTAATAAAGTTTCTCTGAATTAAATAAGGACTTCGGCAGAGAGGTCGCAAATCTTGAAGATTTGCAGACCCTCAATTTATTGGGCCACATTCTGGGAGTGCCTGTGGAAACCTGCAGTTTTGGTAGTGGTCTTTAACAATGTACCGTCTCTTCAACACAGGATGACCCATTACATTAAAATCCTTTTGATCCAAAAATGTTATTATTCTGTAAACTGAGGCCCCAAATATCAAGGAGGTTATATCACCTTGATTAGCATGAACAGCCTCTAATACTATATAGTGAGATTTTCACAACAAATGCCTCTGTTGGGTCCTCTCTCTGACTCCAAACCTTCCTCTTGCAATCCAAGTCTCTCTACAGAAAAGTTGCAAAAAAAAACCGAAATCAATCATATGATACACTCATCACCCCCACCTTTATTCCCTGCTAAGAATATTTATGTACTTTCCGACCCTGCAAAGATTTTCATCTTGAGTAATTTGCTTTGAAAGTAACAATTGTGAAAATGGACTCTATTCATTCTGTTGAGAGTGATAAGCTGAAATAACGATCGCGTGTTGTGACCCGTAAGTCAAACCCACAGAGACGGAGCAAGGGTCACCTGCAAAAAGACGTTAACCTGAGAGCATTTCAGTAGGATGTTTTCACATGTCTACACAGAAATCACTTTTGGTTTTGGTTTTTGACATGGGAGCAGGTTTCTAAATATTGAGAATTGTGGGGGCAGGTAGAAGAGGAGTCTAAAGAGTTGGTATTCAGGAAAAATAGTTCATTTTTAAGAATGAGGCAGAGAATACAATCATCAGAATATTAAAATCTTTGATTCTTCTATTTTTCTGCCAATCACTAGACACTTTGAGGCTCCTTCTGGCAAACAAAGAAAAAAAAGAAATAAAAGGAAACGCAAGCCATGTTTATTAACTAGCAGATCCCTTAAAAGCATATGATAAAAGATAAGGCAACAGTAAATAATGTAAGTAAAATTTGGAGAGTTACCTGCTAATTCATCGATGCTCAAGAAGAAATTGGGGGACCACTCACTGATACTGTGACCCTCCCAGCTTCAATAGATATCACCTATGAACAAACACACATAGTACTTAATATGTACCAGGCATGTTCTAAGCATTTTACAAGTATTAACTCATTTAATCTTCATTATTACTCATATTTTACAGTTGAGGAAATTGAGACACAGAAAAATTAGTGACTTGTCCAAGATCACACTGCAGCAATTAGGGGTTCAAATCCAGGCCCTCTGGCTCCAGAGTCTGTGCTCTCACCAGTATATCACACTGCCTGAGTTCATATTTCATGCTCAGCTTTGTGTTATGTAGTTTATAGCCACTATGTTACTTAATCTTTTCACTCATCATGCAAGACGGTTCCCTTTTTGTTGTTGTTGTTGTTGTTGTTGTTGTTGAGACGGAGTCTCGCTCTGCCTTGCCCAGGAGTGCAGTAGTGCGATCTTGATCTCAGCTTGAACCTCTGCCTCCCGGGTTCAAGCGATTCTCCTGCCTCAGCCTCCTGAGTCACTGGGACTACAGGCATGCACCGCCACATCCAGCTAATTTTTGTATTTTTAGTAGAGACAGGGTTTCACCATGTTGGTCAGGCTGGTCTCGATCTCTTGACCTCGTGATCCGCCCACCTTGGCCTCTCAAAGTTCTGGGATTACAGGCATGAGCCACCATGCCCGGCCCGCAGGACAGTTTCATATCTCTTTTGTACAGATGAGAACACCGAGGCTAGGTGAAATTTAAAAAAAAAAAAAAATCTGCCAAAGGAAGACAGCTTAATAATGTGCCATGTACGTGACAGACCTGGGGTTCAGAATGGTTTATCTGATGGCAACGCCCAGGCTCTAAACAACTACACTGTGCTATAACCTTGGGTGAGGGAGTCAGTATCCACATCTATAAAATGGGTATAATAACAATGTTCCTAACTCACAGGGTCATTATAATGACTGAAAAAGATGAAAATCATTTTACAAGTTGCAAAGAAAAAAAATCATTTATACAATTGTGAGGAGAGAGTAGAGTTAGCATAAAAAGAAAGTTAACATCAAATGACTGAGTTGAAGTATATTCATTAATTCATACAACAATATCTTTGAACCTTTGCTAAATATCAGGCAATTGGCTAGGTTGTGGGCACCGAATAGTGCCCAGAAACAACAAGCAGGGCTCCTGCCTTCAAGTAGGGTTGCTTCTAGTAAATAAAGAAAAGACAAGAAAGGGAGATGAAATTCATGTCTATTAAATGGCTGATCCCTTGAAAGTATATGATGGAATAATCCATCATAATATAGTCACATAACCTAATTATTGACATCTGAAGCCTCCTCCAACCCTGAGATTTTCAAGCTGAGTTTTTAGCCTCATGACAAGAGATAATCCTAATCTTTCTTTAATTCACTGAGACCACTAGCCTAGAATTCCCAGCCACTTTTCTATTGATTTTAGCAAATTCTAAATAATAGTCTCTATAATAATTACTGTTCACATTTCTTGCTATTTCAGGGAAGGGCCACTACTTAAAGCTGAAGTTGCTTCCTCTATCTGCACTCTGAATCCTATTTTCCCTGACCTGCTTCTCCCATATTCACCACTCATCAAACCAACATGAAAATTCATTTTTTGTCACCTGACATCATTCTTATCCATTTCAGCTAACTTAAGCCTCTTTTCAACTAAAATTTAAATCACTCCAGTTATTAACCCATATCTACTTTAAGCCATTTTTGTTTTTTTCTTTTACTCACAAATCTCTCCCATATACAGACTGGTTTTGCTAGATCCCTTCATTTCCTTAGGCACGGTCATCATTTCTTGCCAACTGCTTCTATCATCTACTTACTGAGACCTCACATGAGGCACCAGTTTATTTGGCCCTACTAAAATGGTCTTCCTAGTCAGGCACAGTGGTTCAAACCTGTAAGCCTCACAGTTTCAGAGTCTGAGGCAAGAGGATTGCTTGAGGCCAGGAGTTCTAGACCAGTCTGGCACCCTGGTCAACATAGTGAGATCTCATCTAAAAAAAAAAAAAAAAAAAAAAGAAAAAAAGGGCTGGATACAGTAGCTCATGCCTGTAATCCCAGCACTTTTGGAGGCTGAAGTGGGTGGATCACTTGAGGCCAGGAGCTTGAGACCAACCTGGGCAACATGGCAAGACCCTGTCTCTAGTAAAAATACAAAAATTAGCCAGGCATGATGGTACATGCCTGTAATCCCAGCTACTTGGGAGGCTGAGGCCTAAGAATTGCTTGAGCCTGGGAGGCAGAGGTTGTAGTGAGTCATGATCGCACCACTGCACTACAGCCTGGGCGACAGAGCAAGACTCCATCTCGAAAAAAAAAAAAGATCATCTTCAGTTCTCATACTCTGCAACTTAACTTGTGAATTTTACACAGCCCTTTTTGAACATTTTCCACTCCTTGGTTTCCCTAAGGCTGCATTAAGATGGAGGAGTGGTGCTGGAGTCAGAGAGACTGGGGATCCAGGACTGACTCAGCCACTTCCTAACTGTATGACCTTAGACCAATTACTTAATGTTTCTAAGTCATCTTTTCTTCATCTCAAAAACAGAAACCTGTTCTCACTCATAAAATTGTTCTGAGAATTCAAAATCTATTGTATGTCAAGCCTAGAGAATAACATCTCACTAAGTGTTAGCCATTATCATTATTCTTATTACTATGGCTCTGTAATGACTACAGCTACAACTGCTGCTGCTGCTAGTATTATGAAGGGGCATCTTCTGGCTCTTAAATCATTCCTCTTTCTCCTACACTGGTTCTTCTTCATTCCATCCTAACAGCAGGGATCTTCCATGATAAGCCCTCAGCCACCCACTCTCAGGGAATGCATCTTTGCATCTACTATAACTGCCGTTCAATGCCACATGTGAATTGTTTTTAGAACACCTCCATTTCATTTGGCTAGGTTGACATCACCACCAGTTCACCATTGTCAACAGCATAGTCTCCTCCAGATATCATCAGTCTCTGTGAGATACCATATCTCCCTTGGAGCCTCACACATGAAAGCTGGGAGTCCTTCAGTATCATTTTCTTTTGCATTTCCCCATCACCAATTACCACACTTTCAGTGCTTTATCTTTGCCGTATTTTTCTGATTCTTCTCTCCTTTCACTCTGGCTTAAGCCATTACTGCTTGCTGAATGATCAAGATTTTCTCGGGCCCTGTTCTCTTTACTTTGGTGATGCATTCACTACCAATGTCAGTTTAATGTAAATTTCATCATCTTGTGATCTGTTTAAAAGCCTAAAACTATTTGCTTTTGAATCAAGGCCAGACTCTTCACTTTGACATCAACTCACCCACCTTTCCTCTCCATCATTTTCTCTAGAAACGGCCAAATGGAGACTCCACTTCATTCTGAGTCTTTTCTTTATTTATTTGCCCCATAAATCATGTTCATTTAAGTCCTCACAGTTGAGCTTATTTTATTCTTCTCACCCAGATCCTTATGTCCTTTTGAATAATCAAGTTTACACTTTCTCCAAAGTTCTCCATAAAGTCTACCATTGTGTACGCATGCGTGTGTGTAAGGAAAGGGAGGGGAGGAGGGGAGACCAAGTTTCCAGACAAACTTTGGGTCAGACAGGCCTGAGTTAGAGTCCTGTCTTTTTCCTGACAAGCCATGTGACCTTACACAAGTTGCTTAGATTCAGTGGAAGATCCCTGCTGTTAGGATGGAATGAAGAAGAACCAGTGTAGGAGAAAGAGCAATGATTTAAGAGGCAGAAGGTGCCCCTTCGTAGTACTAGCAGCAGCAGCAGTTGTAGCTGTAGTCATTACAGAGCCATAGTAATAGGAATAATGATAATTGCTAAGATTCAGTTTCTTCATTTGTAAAACACATATTACATACAGCAGCAGTTCTCAAAGTGTGGTCTACAGGTCTATGGAGCAGGAATGGGGAGGAATATCTTCAGATTTTATCAGGGAGTCTGGAACAACAAAACCATTTTTATAATAACACTAAGGTATTGTTTGGCTTTGTCACTGTCTTGGCATTTGCATTGATGGTGCAAAAACAATGGCGGATAAAACTGCTGACACCTCAGCCTGAATCCAGGCAGTGGCACCCAACTATACTAGGGATCATTGTATTCTTCACCACTTAGTGCTTGTAGTGAGAGAGAAAGAGAGAGAGGTAGAGAAAAGAGATGGAGGGAGGGGGAATATTCATTTGTGCTGAATGAAGGAGTAAAAATGATTAATCATATTAAATCCTGACCCTTCAGTGCTAATCTTTTTAATACTCTCTGTGATAAAATGGGTGGTATACATAAAGTACTTCTGCTGCTCACTGAAGTATAACAGCCGCCTCAAGAAAAACTGTTTGTGCAACTGTTTGAGTTGTGAGCTGAACTATTGACCTTTTTCAAAAGGTACCAATTTTACCTGAAATAATGACTGAGATAAACTATGATTATTGGGACCTGGGTATTTGGTAAACATTTTCTTGAAAATGAAAGAAGAGAAACTGTCATTTCAATGATAGCAACTGACAGCATTTGTTGCCAAGGATAAAATTTGATATATTAAGTGAAAATTGGAATTTTGAAAAACTTACATCTGCCAATGTGAGCAACTTGACAGCTTCCTAATATGTAAAGGCTTTTCTGATGAGATTAGTGTTGATAGTAACACATGTGACTTTTAAAACATATATTATATAATGAAATGTGTCAGCATTTGGAGAGCTACATAATTCAGTGAGCCAGCATTTTCCAAATGACCAATGTGTAATGTTACAACCTTAAGCATAGGCAACATGCAAGACAATCAATGGATTTCAAGTTAATAGAGTAAAAAATGAATATATCTCAGATTCCACAATGCAACTAACTTTTCAGAAACTTCTACATTTTTGGTTTTAACTTAATATCAAAAGACAACATTCACAATTATCTGCAAAGGATATTAAAATGCCCATTCCCTTTCCACTACATACCTATATGAGACCAGATTTTCTTCATATACTTCAACCAAAACAACATATCACAATAAATTGAAAGTTGAAGTAGATACAAGAATCTAGATATTTTCTAAGTCAGATGTTAGAGATTTGTAAAAAATATTAAAACAATGCTGCTCTTTCCACATTTAAAAAAATGTATAAATTATAGTATTTTTATAAAATATACTTTGTTAACATATATTTTATGTTATGGGTTATGGGTTAATTATTGTTATTTTAAATGAATCCATCAATTTTTAAATGTTTTAGTTTTAATTCTTAAAACAGTAAATATCTATCTATCTATCTATCTATCTATCTATCTATCTATCTATCTATCTATGGCTATGTATAACCCACATAAATAAAAGTTCTTTGGGGTCCTCAATAGGTTTTAAAAGTCTAAAGGGTTCCTGAAACCAAGAATTTCGATAATTGTTGTTACAGAGTTGTTTTGAAGGTTAAATGTGCTTCCTTATGTAAAATGCCCAGCATAGATCCTGGTAGCTAGTGGGTGTTCAATAAATATTAGTTTCTTACAAGCATTTAAGCATAATCTGTACTAAAAGATGGGTTCCTATTTTTCCTAAGATAAGCATTTAAGCATAATCTGTACCGAAAATATCTGATCAGCTCATATATTTTCTAAACTAGAATGTGTACGCACACATGCAAATGTTGTTTTTGTAGTTTATCCAGTGAGATTACAGTGACTTGTTCCACAGTCTTTCTGGAATACCACCATTTAGCTGGGTATTTAGTAGGTGCTTAATTAATACTTCATGTAGTAAAATCTGTATACAAATTCTATTTGTGAAAACTTCAGCTGTCAAGATTGCAACAGTAAATCTCAAATATAGAATCATTTTCAGTTAACATTAAAACAACTTTAAATCATTTCAATAACCTAGCCCTCCTTTTTTTTTAATTTAATTAATCCAGGCCAATACCATCTCTTGCCTGGATTATTTCACCTATATCCTAAACAACCTCCCCGCCTCCACCGATGTCACCCTTTGGCTCATTTTCAGTTCAGTAGCCACAGCCTTCCTGATAAACACAATGAAATTATGCCTCTTCTCTGCTCAAAATTCCCCTATCTTTGTGGCTAGCTCTGAGTACAGCCAATATCCTTACTTAACCATCATACATCACTCCATCACCTCTCTGAACTAACCGCCTACTGCGCTCCCTCCTGGTCTGGTCACTTTGCTTTGGCCACCTGATTTTCCATGCTATTCTCCTGACACACCAGACCTTTTGTACTTATTTTCATTGCTGGAAAACCTTCCCCCAGAAATCCCTCAGTTCTTTCAACTATTAGGAGAAAGTCTTTCCCAGGAAACCCATCTAAATTGTCATTATCCCTTGGGCAGCCCACATGGCCCTACACACACAAACAACCAGCCTCCCACTCCCATTCCTCCTCTCCTTAGCAGTTACCACTATCTAATGTACTTCCTATTTGATTGTTTATTTGTCTGTCCCCCCTACTGAAATGCAGTTTCCATGACAGTAGGGTCCTTGTCTGTTTTTTCTATTATGTGCGTGGCACACAGCAGATGGTCAATATATATCTGTTGAATGTATTAATGAATGAATAAACAAATGAAAAACAATAGAAACATTACCAATTCAGATTCCTTCTCAAGTACTTAAAGGAAAGAGATATCTTTCTGAGCAACATCCCTGGGATACATCTATAGGGAATCCTGACCTTCATCTCCAAATCTCCCATGGAGAGTACATTTCAGTACCCATGGAAAATGCAACCGTTTCAAGAAGATTGGCAATTTTCCTGGATGATGGTATGAATTTTCTTTGTTCTGGGAATGAAGACTAATAATACTTCAGGCAGAGGACGGTAATTGACTTAGGCCATCCCAGCAGGGAAAGCAAAAGCATTTGGGGAAATAAAGATCATGACTGCTCAAAATGCAGCATCTTCCAGTTAAACCTGAAGGTAAGGAAATAATACATTGTTTTCTCATTGGGTTGGATACTTCATTTTACCCTGAGAACCTCTGCATCGTGGTTGAAGATCTTGAGGAAAACCCACCAGGAAGTCATTTAAAAGTCAACACATGCTATGAAGGAAGCAAATCTAATTCAATTTCAAGAACACATTCTTGAAAAAAGAATAAAGCATAATGAGAACCTGCTGCCTCAAACTGCAGCCAGGTGGGAAGCCAGGCTGCAGGGGCGGCCATTATTCAACAGCTCTGTATCTGGATGGAGCGTCCATGCCCTGGGAGAGTGACTCAGGCTCAGGATTGTTATAATTTATCTGGCTTCTGGCTTCAGCTGCCCTGCCTTCAGTGAAGCCACAGTATCCCAAGCATCCACTCCAAGATACATGGATATCTATCTTTCTGTTTCTTTCAAAGCTTCTCTTGAAACAGAGATAGAATGCACTGCTTCTCTGATAACATTTCCTAAAATGGTATCAATGGACATCTTCCCTCTGGATTTTCTCTCTCCAACAGTGTTTAAAGCAGTCTTTGTCAGGGTTCCAAACAAAACCTTCAGGGCTCCTTAATAAATGGCTGAAACCAGAAAGATAGTGTCACATAGAGCACATGGCACATAAATCTTCATGGCATGTAAATCTTCACTATGTCATTTAAAGGTATGTGGACAAGTTATTTAACCTCTGTTTCATTCCACTGTCCCTTAAGATGGAAATCACACATGTCTTATTCTCATAGAACTGCTGGACGTTAACTGAGATAAGGCAAGTACATGAAGGATGAACAGCAAGGCTGCATTCAAAAGTTAGTTAATAAAGTGAAAGCTGGCTGGGCACAGTGGCTTACCTCACCTAGCAATTTGGGAGCTGAGGTGGGAGGATCACTTGAGGCCAACAGTTCAAGAGCAAGCTAGACAACATAGTGAGATTCTGTCTCTACAAAAAAATAAAATAAAATAAAAAACTAGCCAGGTGTAGCGGTGCATGTCTGTAGTCTGAGCTACTTAGGAGGCTGAGGCAGGAGGATTTCTTGAGCCTTAGTTCAAGGCTGCAGTGAGCTATGATCATGCCACTGCACTCTAGCCTAGGTAACCCTTTGATTATTTTCATCTTCCTTTTTTAGTACCGAAATCCTAATTCTGATATGGCTATCCAGTGGCTAATTATAATTACTACAGGATAATATTTAGGAAAAGTATCTATAAATATTAAATATTTAGGAAAATATTTAGAAAAAGTAACTATAAATATTGTCTCAAAAATAAAAAATAAAGTGAAGGCTTACATAGGGTGAAAACACCATTTGCATCCTAGAAATCATACACAGTTGTTCTCAGCAAGATGCTCAAACTGTGAAAGTGCCACGAGACATGTGTCAAGTCTCCTGAGATATATCTCTCTGGGACCAAGGTTCACTGAGAAGAACAGCTAGCAGCATCACCCACGCTGCTTACATTCTTCTTTCTCTCTATCTCCTTCTCCTAAGAGAGGATGGGGGAGAGCAGCTAGTACATAAAATGTAATAGGATGGGACTCTTCTGTAAAGCACAAAACAAGATGGCTGGCAGAAAGTGAATGTTCCGTATATGGCTTCAATATTATGATCCCTCCTCACTCCCGGTAAAATCTTCTAGTTCTCAGATCTTTTCCCCACGGAATTTCAAATAAGCCAGAAAGGCCAAGACACAGATAGAGAGGATGGGCAACTTCTTTTTCTTTCTTTTTTATTTATTTATTTTTTTAACAGAGTTTTGCTCTGTCGCCCAGGCTGGAGTGCAGTGGCACAATCTTGGCTCACTGCAACCTCCACCTTCTGGGTTCAAGAGATTCTCCTGCCTCAACCTCCTGAGTAGCTGGGACTACAGGCGCATGCCACCATACCCAGCTAATTTTTGTATTTTTAGTTGAGACGGGGTTTCACCATGTTAGCCAAGATGGTCTCGATCTCTTTCTTTTTTTAGTACCGTGACCTTGTGATCCGCCCGCCTCGGCCTCCCAAAGTACTGGGATTACAGGAGTGAGCCACCGTGTCCAGTCAGGATGGGCAACTTCTATGCCACAAGAACAAAAAACAGCACCCTGAACTGCTCTCTGCATAGCTCTGCAAGGTGCTGGAAGTTAAATAAGATGAAGACATTGTGCAATAATAATATAGTGAAACATCATTTCTTCAGAGGGGTCTTTGGCCCCAAAATGAAACTATTTCCTCCTGATACATGCTTCTGTGCTACCAGCCACTAGCCTAATCATAATACTTGTTTTAATTACTTAAGTTTTCCCCCACTAAACCGTGGGGCAGGCAATAAAGGGCAGACACTAGGCTTGGCACGTTGTAGGAATTCGGTGAATATTTGTTGAACAAGTGATAAATGAGCTATATATGCATGTGTGGATATACAATGAAAAATATGTGTGTGTGTGCACGCACGCTATTCAATACCTTCCAATTCTCTGCTTTTTCCTCAAATGAAGTTTTCAGATTAAACCACTTCTAGGCTCAGAACTCATTTATTATATGCCAAAGAGTAACCTACAACTTGGAGTTTATAAAAACCTTGCATTATACTTTAGAGCTCTAGCAGCTTTGTCTGTGACAGTTATCAAATTGTTTTTGTTTCAGATTTTCCACTTCAAAAGCTATATTCCCTGGATTTTATTTTTCTCTTTAAAAATATCTAATGCAGAAATGTTGAAAATCTTAAGTGAATCTCTTGAGAGCCTGCAAGTAAGCATACCCAAACACAGGGGAAAGAGTGATTCCCACGAAGCACGCATCTCATCAAGAATACTTTGCAAGGTACCTGGTAAAATGAGATGCAACAGCTTGCAAAAAGAGGGAATTAATTTTCCAGAGGCACACCTGAAATTCAGTACCTTAATCATTTGCAAATCCTCTTTGATTATTTTCATCCTTCTTGTTTTAGTATCAAGCTCCTAGTTCTGATATGGTTGTCCAGTGGCTAATTCTAATCACTACTGGAGAATATTTAGGAAAAGTAACTATAAGTAAAACTTTAGTCAAATCTGACTTGAGGTTTGACTCAGTTTCCCAACTAAAATTAATGATAAAAACAAGATGCAACCTTTCTAAAATGATAAAATATACCAATAGGTTAAAAAAGTTTAAATGTCAGGATTGTCAGTTAAAAGCAGGAAATGACCATTTGGAGTTTTCAGGTAACCTTCCAAAATAAATTCTATTAGAAACAAATCATGCCAAAATTTATCTTGTGTGATGTTCTGAGTCATTGGCCTGATCTTCCTCAGGTATCTCTACCTACAGGTAGAAGGGAGAAGAAAAACAACGGTTTTGCCCATAGGCAATAACATTTGAAGACCACTGGGCAAATATTCAGCAATTCAAGTAAATTGTTCTCTCTCTGCCTCCACATTTTCCTCTCCAAAGAGCACTGTATTTACAGCAGGAGAGGGGCTGTGCCTCTAGAGATGTCCTGATAGAAAGGACAAGAAGATTTGCAAATTTTCGGGGAAATGTCTGGATTGTCAGGAAATGTCTGTGATAGGGTGGATGGGCTGGTCAGCACCCTTTTCTGAAGTGTGACTATCACCTGGATTTGGAGGGTAAGGATTCAACCACTAGAATCCATGTTTCCAACTTCTTCACCAATTTTTAAGGCCACAGCCATGGCAGCCTCTGTACCACATAAGGTCATTTGAGTATTTCTAGGCTCCCTGAACACTAGTCTCAGGCCTGCCTTCCACCACCAACTATAAGGTACATCTATACAATGGAATGCTATGCATCCATAAAAGACATAAACTGTTGATGACAGCATGGATGAATCTCAAAAGCAAGTGCTAAGTGAAAAAACAAAAACAACAACAAAAAAGTGATGAAATACTAGGTAATTCCATTTATATGAAATTCTAGCAAGGGCCAAGGATTAGAGGAAAAGATTGACTGCAAAGGGGCCAAAGGGAATATTTTGAAGAAACAGAAATATTTTGTATCCTGGCTGTAAAAGTCATAGTTACAGGATTCTATATATTTATCAAAACTCATTGTCTTGTACACATAAAATTGGTCAATTTTAATGTGTGTAAATCATACCTCAAGAAAGCCTGATATGAGCCAAGCACAGTGGCTCATGCCTGTAATCCCAGCACTTTGGGAGGCCAAGGTGGGAGAATCACTTGAGCCCAGGAGTTTGAGACCAGCCTAGACACCATAGTGAGACCTCATCTCTACAAATAACAATAATAATAATAATAAAAATTAGCCAGGCATGGTGGCACATGCCTGTAGTCCTCAGGAGGCTAAGGTGGAAGGATTGCCTGAGTCTGGGGGTTACGGCTGCAGTGAGCCATGATCATGCCACTGCACTCCAGCCTGGGCAGCAAAACAAGACCCAGTTTCAAAAAGGAAAAGAAAAGAAAAGAAAACCTGATATGAAAAAATAAAAATTATAACAGTAGAAAATATGTAAACAATGCCCTATTTAACTGATGCTTGAAACTGAATAACTCTATTTCCATGAGAGAGAAAAAAAAAAACCTGCATTGCCTAAGAACCATAACACATTCAATTCTCAAAGCTAGTAGGCTATTCCCAAAGAAAACATTTCTCAAACTTTAATGTGCATAGGACTCACCTAGGGAACCTGATTCAGTTAATCCGTAGCAGGGTCAGAGATTCTAAGAAGCTCCCAGGTGATACTGATGCTGCTGGCCTGCAGATGACACCTTGAATCAGGTTCTAATCGACCCAGAACTTCTCCTCCAATGAGAAGCTGGGATTTTTATCACACATTGATTGTGTTTGTTCCAAAAACACCATACACCACTTTCATTTGCTTTCTTAATTAGATAACTTAATTATATTACATTAAACAATGTATTTTGACAGTGAAAAAAAGTTGATTTGCTGAAAACTAAGTTGGATATTTTGTAAAGACTCAATAAAGATGAGTTTATAAAGCCAATATCCTTGAATTTGATGTGAATATGACAACTACAAAAGATGATATAAATTTAGAGGGCTTCTGCACAGATTCCTTCAAAATTATGTTATTTAAAACAAGTTTTCTGAGTGATAATTGACATAACTTCAGATGCTTAATCAGTACAATTTGATAGGTCTTGATATATGTATGTATACATGAAACCATCACCACCATTAACATCATGAATCTATCCACCATACCCAAACAAGCTTGTAGAGATGGATATCAAAATGTTGAAAATAAAAAATATAATGCATGAGATTAATGTAAGATTAAATGTTGTAGAATAAACTATTAATGAACTTGAAAAGGTAGCAACACAAACTATTCAAAATGAAACACAGACAATAGACTGAAGTAATTGAAATAGCTTACATATACATATATACTTACACTGTATATACACGCGCTATACATTCTAAAGCAACCACTAAAACATCACTACCACGAGTTATAGTTAATAAGCCTACACAAGAGATAAAATAGAATAAAAAGCATTCAACCAAAAAAATGCAGAAAAAGAGAAAAAGAATAACAAAGAACAGACAGCACAAATGGCAAACAAATAGTAAGATGGTAGATTTAAACTCAGCCATGTTAGTAGTCACATTAAATGTAAGCTGTCTAAAAACTCTAAAGATACAGACTGTCCATTTGGATTATTAAAAGTAACATCTAAGTACATGCTGCCCATTGAAAACAAATTTAAATATATAGACACTAAAAGGACAACCAAAAAAAGAAAGAGAAAGATAAATTAGACTTTAAGAAGTCCCTTTATAATCTATTTTGTGCCCCTAATTGTGCCCCTTTATAATCTATCCTTCCTGCCTTCTTACCCTTACACCCATCCCCACCCCCACTTCCCAGTGACCTAGTGGCTTGTGTTCAGGTACTATTAATTGCAGTTTCTAGAATTATTTTTTAATAAATGAAATCATCAAATATATACTTTTTATTTTGTCTGGCTCCTTTCATTCAGCACAATTGTTTAGAGATTCATCTTTGTTGTTCTGTACATCAGTAGTATACTCCTTTCATTGCTGCTTAGTATTTCATTTCATGGATAGATCACACTGTTTATCCATTCATCTGCTAATGGGAATTTGAGTTGCTTCCAATTTTGTCCATAGCAAAGTAAGCTGCTACAGAACTCTTTATATTGACAAATATTTTGATCTCCTTTTGGTAAACAGGAGTTGAATGACTGAGTTACATGGCAGATATATGTTTAACTTCATTTATTTATTTATTTATGAGATGGAGTCTTGCGCTGTCGCCCAGGCCATAGTGCAGTGGCACCATCTGGGCTCACTGCAATCTCTGCTTCCCGGGATCAAGCAATTCTCCTGCCTCAGCCTTCCAAGTAGCTGGGATTACAGGCATGCCCCATGATGCCTGGCTAATTTTTTTTGTATTTTTCGTAGAGATGGGGTTTCACCATGCTGGCCAGGATTGTCTCAAACTCCGGACCCCAAGTAATCCACCCGCCTCTGTCTCCCAAAGTACTGGGATTACAGGCGTGAGCCACTGCACCTGGCCTGTTTAACTTCTTTTACAATGGCCAAGCTGTTTTCGAAGTGGTTGCACTATCTTCTCACCAACAATGTATGAGAGTCATGTTGCTCCACATCCTTTCCGATAATTGTTATGGTTCTTCTTTTTAACTTTAGCCCCTCTAATAGATGTGTAATGGTATCTCATTGTAGTTTTCCTTTGCATTTCTCTAAGAACTAAATTAATCATGCTTTTACGTCCTTATTTGCTTTCCATATATATTTTTGGTGAAGTGTTTGTCCAAATCTTTTGCCCATTTTTTAAATTCCAAGTGTTTTGTTTTCTTATTAAAATTTAAGAAATTTTTATATATTCTATAAACAGATCCTTTATCGGATCTGTGATTTAAAATTTTTTTCCCACTCTGAGGCTTGCTTTCACACTTTCTTAACAGTGTCTTTCAAAACAGTTGTCCTTTCGGTGTCTGTATATTTAAAATGGTTTTCAATAGGCAGCATGTACTTAGAGGTTACTTTTAATAATCCAAACTGACAGTCTATGTCTTTAGAGTTTTTAGGCAGTTTACATTTAATGTGATTACTAACATGGCTGAGTTTAAATCTGCCATCTTACTATTTGTTTGCCATTTGTGCTGTCTGTTCTTTGTTATTCTTTTTCTCTTTTTCTGCATTTTTTGGGTCAATGTTTTTATTACTGTATTTTATCTCTTGTGTTGGCTTATTAACTATAACTCATGGTAGTGTTATTTTAGTGGTTGCTTTAGAATGTATAGTGCGTGTATATACAGAGTACGTATATATGTATATGTATGTATGTGTGTGTTATTTCAATTCCTTCAGTCTATTGTCTGTGTTTCATTTTGAATAGTTTGTATTGCTACCTTTTCAAGTTCATTAAAAGTTTCTTCTGCAACATTTAATCTGTCATTAATCTCATTCATTATATTTTTCATTTCCAACATTTTAATATCCATCTGTACAAGTTTGGGAAAATATATATAAGATCTTTTCCATTTCTTAGTATAATCAATTTTTCCTATCGTTTCCTTAACATATGGAATACAGTTACAAGTGTGTTAATGTACTTACCTGCTAAAAATCTCTGGATTATCCTCTCTCTGTGCAGCTCTCTCCTGCCCTGTACTTTGCAAATTCTCCTGACTTGACCTCCCTGAACTCCCAGTTCCATCCCCTCAACTCAAGAAGACTGTTGATTCCACCTGTTTTTGTCCTCTCTGAATCTCAACCCGGAAATTCACTCCAAGTAGTAAACTGGTAAATTTTTATAACATGAGAAATACACTGTAATACATTAGCTGAAAATATGTGAACTGTTGGTCTACCACTCTATAAAAATATAAAATTTTAAGTTTTTAGCCGATCAATGTGGAACTCTAGTATGGGTTCAACATCAATGATATATCAAGCAAGTTCTTCATCAAAGCACATTTTGGAAAAATAACCAGCTTAGTTTGGATTCCTCCAGAAGCTGACTTTGAGGTAAGGATTCCACTACAAGTAGATTATTTGGGAAGCGATTCAGGAAACACTGGAAGGGGGTAGGTAAATGAAACAGGAAACGGAAGGCAGTTAACAAAGGGCATATTATCAAACAAATTCTCTATCATCATGGGCAAAAGGAGCTCAATGCTGGTGTAGAATCTTGCAATCCAGTGTAGAACAGCTTCAGAGTTATCTCAGCTTAGGGTTGAAGGAGTTGGGGTATTTAAAAAACTCCCACCAGTCAGTAGAGTTGCCGAGGGGGGTGCTGATTTTCTGGAACTTCTGACCTGCTCTGAATGTGGGCAGGGCAGTCCCTAACACCAAAAATTCCCTCAGGCAGAGATTCAGATGTTGGCAGTTAAAGGTCGGTCCAGAGTGCACTACAGAGGTGAGCCTGAGGAGATGCAACAGAGAAGAACCGAAAGTGGTGGGAAGAATCCCACAGGAGTTGAAAGCGGCATCTTTAAGAATCAGAAACCCTTGGTTCAAGTCATGGCACCCACCTTGAGTAATAGTTGACTTGGGTAGGCCGTTGGACTTTTTTAAAGCTTCTTTATTCTCTCTCTATAAAATGACAGTAGTACCTGCTTTGAGGCCCTTGTAAGCACTAAGTGTCTCGACTTAAGTGAAGCTTTGGTACATTACCAGGTACAATCAATGCTTGGTGAATATCTGCCACTGTTATAATAATTTCTATTATTACTATATTTAAAACGGTGAGATTTGTATGACATGTAATACTTCTATTAAGAGATAAGGGTACATCAATATTGGAAGTTCCACACTACAAGAGTTTTATTCTGGGTCTCAATTCAAATATTATTAAATGTCCAATACAAACATTTTTACCTTCTAGAAATAATTTATTGTTTTGTTCTTAATAGCAGAAACATTTGGTCCAACAAGTTGAATCAGCATAATCTACCTGTAATCAAGAGAATTTAAATCAGATATAGGAAGCTGTGATACGAGGCAAATTTTCCATAGAAATTAAAATTTATTTTTACATCCACGAAAAAAAGCTTCTTAGGGGAAAATTAGCTAAAATTTGACTACCTATGTCATAGAAACATGCCAAAGGGTAACATAAATGGGGCAAAATAATAAAACCTATATGAAATAACAATTAAGAGCTGTGGTTCTCAACCCCCAGTAATAATTTCCCCTGGGGGACATTTGGCAAAGTCTGGAGACATTTCTAGTTGTCACAACTGGTGGAAAAAAAGGTGCTTCTGGCATCTAGTGAGTAAAAACCAGAGATGCTGCTACCCACCCTAAAAAGCACAGAACAGCCCCTGACAACTGAAGTTGTGCCTTGATTAACGAATCCTAATTTACAGTCTATGTTATAATGCCATAAACCTCTAGGGTCTCTAAACAATAATGTTTCTGTTGTGCAAGATTTTTTAAAAAATAAGGTTAAATAGAGTATATTTTCTAAATGTTAAAAAAATACTCTTCCTATGAAAAGAAGTGTACATGAAGAAGGCTTTGAATGCTGGGTAACCATCCCTACTATAAATTTGCTGTGTTTCAATCTGCCACATGAAAGCAATTTCAACAAGCCATCAACAAAGCCAGATAATTAAAATGTTGGTGTAGTCATAACCTTGGTTAATTCACCCTGACTTGTAATAGCTGAAATAATGACAGAGAAGAACCTGGGGAAACTAAGGTCAGAAATGTAGTACATGGGCTAAAATACTCATTTTGAAATTATTTTAAGCAAAATGATGGTTTACTATAATGACATATATTGCCTTTTTGTTTTCATTAGCAATCCCTCTGGGAACGTTGACACAAGTACACGCGAAACCTGATTACTTGGTTTATAGAACACAGAGAACATTATCAAAGAGCTAATGACAATGTCTATTCACTTAGAACTCTGAGCAACCTGGCGACTTTTAATCAACTTTTAAAGGCGCAAGAGCAAAACAAAATTGAGAATAAATGTTTTTACTCCTAACTATTGAAAGGTAAAGAGGCATGTCAACAATTGTTCAAATAGCATCAGAACTGAGTTAGAAGGTGTAAGCAGAGAAGCAAACACATTTTCAGTAAGGCCATTTTTTTTTTCTAACTGACAAATTCTACAAAACCCATCAAGAAACTGTGATCCAAATCCATTTTTTCTACTGAAATTGCTTTCTTATAGCACAGTTGTACCAAGACTAAAGAGCCTGAAATGATTTTCCTCTGTAAGAAGCTAAATGAGAAGGGTGGGCTCTGAATTTTTAATTTATTAAATATCGATCAATGCATGCTAACAATCAACTGTTAAATAACAGTAATAATATTTTATCTCAGTTATAATATAATGGATGTTTCTCTCCATTATATTATAATAATGGATGTTTTTATCCATTATATTATAATAATGGATGTTTCTATCCATTATATTATAACTAAAACTCTTCCAGTCTTAGAGCTTGGATATTTAGCCTATGGAAATGCAAAAGGAAATAGTGACTGAAGTCAGAGAAGAAGGAATTATTAGGAGCATGTCCCAATTCGTACAAAAATGTAAATGGGAGGAGTAAGAAGAAAATTGTCACCCGGAAATCAAGATTCAGACCACATGAGCTAGCACTTTTTCTCTATTACTTGAACAACTCTGCCTTAAGCACTTAAAAATGCACTGAGAGGTGATTTAGCATCTATGATGTAAGACATCAATACATCAAGGCCTACAAACAACAACAAAAAGATGCACGCTAAAGCATATAACCCGCCACGTTAAAAGAATGAATTATACTTTTTTCTACATTTCTTTCTCCTTCACTTTTCTTTTTTCCCCAAAGTCAATATTCATTTATTTGACCAAGACAGTTTTCAGTGAGCTACATGTTAACTTTTCTACTGCAGGAGAAATTCATATTCAAATTTGTTCCATCCTCCTACTTCTTTGACATGTAGCACTTAATAGGGGAAGAAAACAATTCTTCTTTAAAATAATATTATTTACCATAGAGAAATAATTATAAAAGTTAGGCTATTATCTTCAAGAAGTCCTCATCACAAATGCATCTGCCAAAATACATGAAGTATATGGGTTCACATGTTTTCAATTTGTCAAAAAGACCTTATCTGCACACACCAAAAAACCATTAAATTAGTGATAATAAGGCAATATCACCAAAGTTTCAAGTCTATTGACAATTTCCAAAGGATTGAACTACTTTAAACACTCCACTCATTCAATGATCTGGACACCATGCATAGCACATTTGAAAAAAATTACAAGAAAAAGGCACCTTGGAAAGTGATAGGGTTATTTTTTAGGTGGAAGGAGACATTGTTCTCTAACTTCAGAAGAAAACTTTTTTTATATCAATGTTGATGGACATACAGGTGGAATAGGCAAAATGCCATGCCAGTGTTCCACAGCAAGTCCTGTCATTATCCACGACAGGGGTTCCTTCATTTAATCCTATGAGCTCCTATCATGTTCCAGGCTCTGCGCTAGCAGCTGAAGTTGTCCATATGGAAATGACAACTAGAGGAGCTCCCAAGGAGCTCAGTCAATTGAGGACAGATACAGAAAGATCAATACAAAGAACAGAGTATATCCAATACTGATGATGAGTGTGTGTACTGGGTTCAAACCCAGGAACTCTGGCTCTAGACACCATCCAGTTCAACACTATACTACACCGTTTCCCACAGATTCAGCTTGAGGGAAAAGAGGCTCTCCAAAATATCAAGATGGTGGTACAGGAAGAGGAGGAATGGATTCTAGGCAGGTGAAAGTCCATGAGGCCAGGATGATGTATGTATTTGGAAAAAGTGGAGAAGGGCCTTCCAGGCATAGAGAGAGCATTTATTATGAACTGTGTCTGTGCCACAGTATCACTGGGGCCACTCTTCACTGACACTCAGGTAGCTTGCTAGCACTAAAAACCCAAAACTATCAAAAGTCACCACTACCCATAAGCACTGATCACAAACACCATATTCCTCCACTGGTTGGTGTGTTTTTGTACATAAAAGACCAAAGGCACTGATGGCTCCTCTGACGATGAGTTGCTCGAGGCAGCCAGAAAATAAAGCAAAAACAAAAAAAACACCAAGATGTCAGCTCACCATGGAAAGTGCCTTCGCTTTATCCCCACAACAAAACCCTTTCTCTTTCATCCAAGGACAAAATAAACTCCCCAGTCCCTCTTGAGTTCCTCCAGAAAGCTGAAAGTCATCTTTTCATCAGCTCAGATCCTTCAACTGATGTGGATCTTGAAAATATTAAAGATGAATCCCGAAGAACACACTGCATGTCGCCATATTCATGTCAGATTTGTAAGTCAGAATCCTAAGTTGATATGTGTGACTAAGACAGGCAAAGACAGGAATGTAGATTAAATTTCTCAGAAAGAGAAAGATACCATCCACTTGGAACATAATTAGTAAAGCTTTTAATCAACTGGCACTCCCAAAATAGAGGAAATCAGATAAAATGGATGCCCTTTGACAGTAATAAAATGCACATCTCATTAATTAATGTAACTAGACTTCCCCCAACCCCATTGATTTCCTGCAATTTTATCAGAATCTGTTTTCAAGCAAAACAAAAAATACAGGTAAACATTGCCCATTCTACTTCTGTCGCTTCCATCAGATTGAGACTTCCCTGAAGGCAGGAATTATGTCTCATGCATCTTTGTATCTCCCAGAATGTCCCTGACATAGCTCTGTCTTTGTGAAAAGAAAGAGAAGGTCAAGGGCAAGGGAAAAGGCAAAAGGAAAGACAAGGAGCAAAGCAAGAGACAGACAGAACCCAGTGAGCGTTCATTATGGCTGCATCTATCCCACCAACCACTACAGTTTCTATATAATCACTCAGCAAATGTTTGTGCAGCTGCTCCCTAGCAGATGGTGAATTCCATGACTGATCGGCAGTACGGTCTCCTTTGATATTTCTTAGTTGGCCCACAATGTCACTTTTGATCATTTTTTCAATTCACCATCCTTTCATCAGCCAAAGCAGAACCAGCCTACTCTCATTCTCATTTTGACAGACTTCCATGTGAGTGATTTGTCCTCTCTCTCTCTCTCTCTGTCTCTGTCTCTCTGTCTCTATTTTGAGGTCACTGCAAAAAAATTCCCCTGTTTCTTCCTCCCTACAGGACTCTTATCCCTCTCTGAGCATTTTTTGAGGCTAGGCAGGTTTCAGCAGTATCACCAGCCCAGTAAGGGCCCTTGGATAAAAGAGCTGTCTGCCTAAGCTCCTCAATTTATTAGAGCCGTCAGACATGAAAGAGTAAACCAATTCCTAGTCAGCAAAGTTGCATTACAGAAAAAAGCAAATAAAACCATCAAACAGATTACATACAAGCCTTGAATCCAAAATTAAAGAATATGGAGAAACAAGGTACTTAATCAATTAGGATGAGCCCAATGTTCCCTTTACAGCCAGGAACCAACCAATTAAACAAACAGCAAATAACAAACAAGCTTTCTATTCCTGATATTTATATAGCAAATGATATGGTCATTCATTCTAATGTCCCAGTTTAAAGTCTCTGACTTAATTCTTCAAATGTAGTGAATTAGAATAATTAATTTCCTTAACTGTGTCGACTCATTCAAGGTCATTTTCTCCCATTCAATCAGGAAATAGTTTTGTACCTTCACTAACATTTGTACTTCTGCCAGTTATGATATTTAAAAGGGAGAGGTAACATTTGGGGTGTCTATTAATACATCTAAACCATTCAGTACTGTCTGACATAATGGAATGATATAAACAGAATCCATTGTCATTTTAATGCAAAGACAATATATCTGACTCCTTTTTTACATATTCTACATCTCACACTATTAATTGAAATTGCTACTGAAACAAGAGTGGCATAGTTAATGTCATTACATCCTAATTAATCAATATCCTTCCAAAAACTTACACGAGAAAGAAAGTTTTAAGTTCAGCTACCATTAAAGAGTCCACAGGTATGTATGGGGGAAATGTATTTTTGCAAATTATTCATTTGGATTATAGCAAAATAGTTAAAATGTGTGTGTGTGTGTGTGCGCGCGCACATGTGTGTGTGTGTGGAGGGGGGTGGTGGGTGTGTGTGCCTGTATCACATTAAGGCATCTTACTGCATAAATTGTTTTCTAGATATAAATTGGGCAATTTCAGTATTAAAAATTAGCATTTTTAGCTCATTAATATTTCAGTTGGTGAACTTAAATAGTTATAGGTTATGTTCTGATAGAGAGAAAGAGAGAGAACGAACATTAGCGTCTAAAAATTCCTAAGTTACTTCCCAGAAGGAGCTTTCACACTGTGAGAATCTGGTTACCATTACGACATTAGTTTAATTAAATGTGCAGAACTTGAGGACATGCTCTGGTGACCAATTTTTACAATACCAGGTAATTTGGTTCCTTATGTACATTACAAAAAGTGTGATGCCCAGATCATCAATGAGGACTACTCAACTACTGGAAAAAAATATATTTGCCTTTAGGAATTTAATAGGAGAGAAAATGAACCTATGACCAAAAATACTGAAAATAGTACCAAGTTACCCACGAATTAATTCATTCATGTATTCATTCATTCATTATTTACCGAATATATTTTATGTGCCAGGTGTTTCTTACATGAGTAAAGTTAAGGAGGCATGGCCCTTTCCTTCCTTATCTCTTCCCTCTGTTTCTTGTTTTGAATGTAACAAGCATCTTCTACTGCAATACACTGTACTAAGAGCTATAGTGGAGATGATGGGAAGACACAGATACTTTACTCTCATTTATTTCACAAATAGCTGGGGGAAAGCTATATAACAATAGCTTTTATATTAGAGAGGATGAGCAAGCATTTGAAAAAAGTACTATTAATACAAAGATCTGTAACACAGTAGAGGAAGAAATTTATCTGTCTGAGAATGGAACATTTTAACTTGACAAGAAAACGATGAAAGGGCTTGCAGTTGTAAAGAACATTTCACACAGAGGGGACTATACTTGCAAGGATTTGGAAGAGAGAATGCAGCATATTCCAGGGGTGGTTTTTGTTGAGTGATATCATAACCAATGCTTTTTCTGCCCACGCTTTCTGCCCTGGCACCAACCTCTTTTCAGACCCTGAGATGTGATGCAGCCATCACAAAACTCAGGGGTATATGGACATAGAGAACATAGAAGCCAGATTCTTTGTTTTTAAGCATGAAAGTCAAAGTCCATGTGGCCTGTAGGTACTAAAAGGCTCACTCAATTCCCTCATCCAGTCTCTGCAAAAATGTCCTCTTACACTGCCTTATTTTCCAATCATAGTACTCACCACCTCCTGAGAATGTTTATTTATGTCTTTATTACCTGTCTCCCCCTCCCTCCCTCTGGAACAGAAGCTCCATGAGATTTGTGTGCTTGTCTTCCCAATAGCTTAATTCCACTCATCCATTTATTCATTCAATCATCTAAAATTAATTGACCTCCAGTGACACAAATGCTAGAAATATAAAGATGAATGAGACATCATCTCTGTTTTCAAAGAATATATCATTCACAAACGTGGATGTTTTGGTTATCTCCTCCTCAGTAACAAGCAACTAAAAAGCTTAATGGCTTGACACAACAATTTATTATCATTGTATTTCATGATTCCACTAGTCAAGAATTAGGACAATCCATAGTAAGAATAAGCTAGCTTCTGCTCAATGAAGTTTGTGGCCTGAGCTAAAATGGCTTGTACAGTTGGAGAGTTAGAACGACTGAGGGCTGGAACAGGTGGGACTGGCTGGACCGTCTTCTCTATCTCTCTTTCGCCTTTCCAAGTGGCTGGTTTAAGCTTCCTCTCTGTAGAATAGCCCCAGGGTATGTGGACTTCTTACACACTGGCTCAGAGTTCCTAGAGATCAAAGTGGAAGCTGCCAGTCCTTTTTAGGGCAAGGCTCAGAATGCCCCGCCATTATTTATATTACACTCTATTATCAAAGTAGTCTCAGGCAAGTCCAGAGTATAGAAAAGGGGAAATAGAACTCAACTCTTGATGGGAAGATGTCAAAGAACTTACAGCATCTTTAATCTGCTGCAGTGAGCAAAACCCATCCTCAAATAACTATGCCATAAGTCAAAAAGAAAAGTACAGTAAGGGAGCAATGCTGGCATCAAAAGCAAGACTTGGGTAGCTACCCAATGTGATTTTGAGTTCTGCTGCTTACCAGGTATGTGATGTTGGGGAAATTACTTAATCACTCTGAATTTTTGTATCCTCATCTGTAAAAGGAAGATAGTGAGTATACCCAAAATTCATAGAGCTGTTTTAAGAATTACATGAGATCTCATTCATGCACATGCACTTGAAGACACACATGCACATGTACCCATTCATGTGCATACACAAACAGAGCACACACATGGCCCGGGCATTGGGACATGGTAAGGAGTCAAGGAATATTAGCTGCAGTTCTCACTAAGAATGGTACAAATAAGGTATTATGAATTTTTCCACATCTCGATAATCATATACTTCATATTTTTAAGCACACGCTTTTGAAGTAACCACATCTACAAAGATGATTGGGAACAATGAAAATTCTTGTTGAGCAATGAATCAAACTCAGTTACCAGCAGCTCATGAAGGAGAGGTTGAGAGGTTGAATAGAAAATAAAGCAGAAAATAAGAGTCAGGAAATAATTACTAGCCAATATGATAGGGTCTTAGAAGAAATGAAATACATCTAAGCAGGCAGCAGCATTAGAAGCAGAATATTATTTTCCATTATTTCTTTACTTTGTGTTATACAGAGAATTGTGAGCAAATACATTTAGAGATGAAGAAATTGCATGATTAGATGGCAGTGGTGGGTTTATAGGCTAAGTGAATACACCCTCTGAGAACCAATGAGAAATCTGGTGAGTTGAACCAATGACTTTTAGAAATAATCTTTAGGTTTTACAGGGAATCAGAGTATAACAGAATGTGAAGGGAAGTCCTTCCCTAACCACGAGTGATGACAATGAGTGACACCCAGAAGGCAGAGCTAAAGAAGTCTCACCCAATCACCGAGTCCATCTGTTCACATCAGCAAACACATATAACTCAGAGTGAGGAAAAAAAGTGTCTGTCATTTGAGAATTTTACTAATTGTTCGACATCTATATTCCTGAAAAGCTAAAGGAAACCACTGCAAAGAGGCTG
Source organism: Homo sapiens (assembly GCF_000001405.40). Taxonomy (NCBI): domain Eukaryota; kingdom Metazoa; phylum Chordata; class Mammalia; order Primates; family Hominidae; genus Homo; species Homo sapiens. Next base: position 155,846,328 of record NC_000005.10, on the reverse strand, counting down.
ATATTTCTGACTTTTTGAATGACTCCAGCTATATGGGCAGTAAGTCAAGAGGGATGTAATTTGTATGCTAACTTAAAAATTACATTAAAATTAACATTAGCAGCTTTCTACGTTTGTGAAAAATGCCATAGTAAAGACGAATACGCTAAGGTTTCCTCAAGTTACTAAAAGTTATCATCAATAAAATTCTTAACAGAGATAAGAAAGTTCTAGTCATTTTTTGTTGCTGGAGATGACCTCCAGAATGCTGGTTTCATCCATCGCCATAATCTTCCATGGATAGCTGCAGAGCTCATTGCTTTGCCAATCATGAAAAACTCCCAAGTTCCTTTCTTCTCAAGTTTACATGTGAAATTTAAAAAAGCAAACCTATCCAGAACAAAGTACATGGGCAAATGGCCCAGAAAAATGAGCATGTGGCACAGAACATCAAAGATGAAGAGACAGCAGTGCCCCAGAGAGACAGCATAATTCAGATAGCATTCTGTCCTGGTCCTCTGTGAGGTCTAGGTTGGCATAAAAAACAGGTTTACAGATAATGAATTAGTTTTGCCAGAGACTCCTAGCCTCCACCTCCCAGGAGGTTGTGTGAAATATAAAAAGGCATTTGATGTCTTCCTAAAAGTCTCCCACCTTTTCACCACTGTGGTTACAACCGTGAAATATCTCCAAGCTTTATTTCCAGCTGATGGTTAAGCAGGATGAGAACGCTGAACATTTTTGGAGAAAGAGAGTTGTATTAAAATTATTCATTGTAATAACTTCATTTGGACAAGAAGAAAATGACAGGAAAGGTAATTTGTCTCCCATCCAAGTACTAAGCAGGCCCGACCCTGCTTAGCTTCCGAGATCAGACGAGATCAGGCGCGTTCAGGGTGGTATGGCCGTAGACAGTAATTTGTAAAACCAGTTGTGGGCCTTATAATTTGGCTCCTTCATTTTTCTGCCAAATCCACTGAGAAGAAGGCACATTATCTCACTCCTTCCTACTGTCATCATCAAATGACCAAGCCACAGAGGTGACATGGAAGGCAGCAGGTACCTGGAATTTCTAGGTTAAAATTTGGTAGTAATTACTATAAATGGAAAAATGACTATGCCAAGTGCTTCATGCATATTAGCTCATGAAAGGTAGGCAAACCCATTTTAAAAATAAGATGATGGACATTCTCAGCAAACTAACATAAGAACAGAAAACCAAACACTGCATGTTCTCACTCATAAGTAGGAGTTGAACAATGGGAACACATGGACACAGGGAGGGGAATATCACACACCGGGGCCTGTCATGGATGGGGGACTAGGGGAGGAATAGCATTAGGAGAAATACCTGATGTAGATGACGGGTTGATGGGTGCAGCAAACCACCATGGCATGTGTATACCTATGTAACAAAACTGCACGTTCTGCACATGTACCCCAGAACTTAAAGTACAATAATAAAAAAAGATGATGGAAGCACAGAGAAGTAAAATAATTAATATCATCCAGTCATTATATGGCATGCATTGGATGATTCAGAATTGGCCACTGTGCTATACCGCTTCATATACTACTGTTTTTAACTAAGCATGTGACCTTAGGTGAGTCACTCACTGTCTTTCATCTCCATATACGGTATTCCATTCTATGGCCAGCATTTATAATATGAGCAGGACAGCACCAAGCTTCCTCAATTAAGTTTTAGTGGAAAGCAATTAAGAAGTGACTGGAAAACACTTGATGTAAAGGTCAGTTCTTTCTCTTTTATTTACGATCTAATCTTTCCTTTCTTTCCATCATTGTAAGAATGCTTCTATTAATAAATTATACTTCTTTCTAATATCCCTGAGTCACCACTTTCTTGTAACGTGATAAACTGCCTTGTTTATAACACACACACACACACACACACACACACACACACAAAGCCTTAGCAACACCCTCTGGCGGCAATTAACAAACTTCCTCTGGATTAGTTTTTACTCTTTAAGTGTAAGGAGAACTTTATTAAGGAAAATGGAAAATTTACAATGAAGAGGGAAATATAACACAATATAAGTTTTATTTTTAAAAAATTCAAAATTTTAGGACTAGAGAAAGCCAGAAAAGCAGGAAGCTGCCCCAGCCAATCGAAGAGGTGTGTCTCTGTGCAGAGAAGACATGCTAGGTCAGAAGAAACAATACAAACTTCAGATAAGTGTGAGGCCTTCACAAGCTGATTGTTTTTTTTTCCCCTTTTGAATACTGACATTTTTTCTAAATTTTGAAGTAAATAAATGTTCAAAGTATCAGTTTTACTGGAAGATACTCATACCATTATAAGAGTAACTGGTAGAGTTTGTTCAGAGTATAGCACTGTATTAATCCAGATCTTTTGGATATAACAGAAACCCATTCCAAGTTAGCTTGAGCAATACTCTGGGGAAAGAGTGAAAGATTTATTAGAAAAATATACAGGTGTCCAGTGAAACCAAGTCAAGGGAAGAAGTGTTTCTCTGCTTTGTAAAATCCTGGGACCAAGAACTAGGCAGCCACTGGGGGTTCAAGGTGCAGGCCCAGCCTTGAGGCTTCATCATGTCCTAGCTGTAGCCCCCCTACTCCATGTTCAGCTTTTTATTCCCAGCTCTACATTTACAGGAAACAATCAGATTATCTTGCCTTGAGCCAGAAGTTACCTCTCCTCTTCTATATTGTTCTTGCCACAGGCAGAATGAGAAGATCATATGGTTCAATTAACTCATATCACCTGTGCATGTAAATGTTGAGCCTTCGACTGTATATACATGGCAGAAAGAGATACATAATCTTTAAAGTGAGGACAATTCAGCCTGCTGACCTACTCAGTAAGTATGTGACCTGGTGCATGCATAATTTGGAAGATATAAATCTGCTGTTACCTCCCTTTACCTCAGCGTGAGTATCAGTGTGTGTGTGTGTGTGTGAGCATAAGTGAGAGTCATCCTAGTAATTAAAGCTGTGTATTTTTCCTACACCATATTCCTTAGACCCAAGTGAAGTGTTTTATCTAGTGCTCAATCAAGGAAATAGGCCACCTGATTTAAAACTGAGGAAAAAATTGGCTATCCTCAACCCATTAATGAACAATTATTCATTTTACACACACACAAAAGGAAAGTTCCTATGTGTTTTTAAAGGTCAATTTTCAGTAGATATGTTTTTTACCTTATACCTAGACTTTCTAACATAATCCTCACGTAAGATACCATTGCTTTGTACAATCATTTCTCTTTGACCAGCACCCGCTCTTGAGGGTGGAAGGTGATTATTTGAGAAATGGAGCATGGAATAAAGATGCAGTTTCCAAGGTGTCTTTGAAGAATATGGCTTCATATAAACTGAAAACTCTTAGATGGAGTTGATAGTCTTATAATCAGGCTGCAGAAAAGAATCGAAAAACAACTGATCAGACACAATTACCAATGTCTTAACAGAAGTAGAATAGAGATGATGCCCTGATATTAAAAACTAAGTATTTTTAAGAACAGTCAAATATTTTGAAGATTTCTTTTTTTAAAATTTTCAGTTATCTCAAAACTGAATTAATGACAAAAATATTAAAACACTTTAATCCATTAATTACATGGAGAACTTTTTGTGATGCTGTGCTAATTTATTAAAATTCTATTTTGTTAGTTTTCATAATACAGCTGCTCATCAGAACTGATATATGCCCCCACCACTAGACACCAACAAGCATCTTTTGAACTTTTGAGCTCAAAGTAACTTTATTTTAGTCACTTTTTTTTTTTCCGTTGAGATGGAGTCTCACTCTGTCGTGAGGCTGGAGTGCAGTGGCACGATCTCAGCTCACTGCAACCTCTGACTCTCTGGTTCAAGCAACTCTCCTGCCTCAGCCTCCTGAGTAGCTGGGATTACAGGTGTGCACCACCATGCCCAGATAATTTTTGTATTTTTAGTAGAGACAGGGTTTCACCATGTTGTTCAGGATGGTCTCTATCTCCTGACTTTGTGATCCACCCACCTCAGTCTCCCAAAGGGCTGGGATTACAGGTGTGAGCCACTGTGCCCAGCCAGTCAGTTATCTTTTTTTTGGCTATTAGAAAAAAAAAAAAAAAAAACACCTCAAATGAGTTTAAGAAAAAGCAGCAAAGAATTGTTCTGGCTCATATGATCAAGTAGTCCAGAGAGAGGCATAGCTAGATCCAGAGGTTCAAATATTGCCTTCAGGCATCTTTCTCGCTTTCTTCCCCTATCTTTCCTCTCTTCTTTTCTAGATATTAGCTTCATTTTCAAGCTGAGTCTTTCAAAGCAGCAGCTGACATTTCTCCCCACAGCCCAAGCTCCTAGTGACAAAGTTAAGGTGGCCTTTCTCTAGGCATCTATTTCACTTATTTCACTTAGCCCAAAAGGATTTCTATTGATCTAGTTGGGCCATGACCCACCCCACCACCAGAAGAATCATTGTGTTTAGAAAAATGTCCCATATGATTGGCCAGGACTGGGAGAGGGAATGGGACAGAAATAACATAAACACATCTGGGCTTTTTTTCTCCCCCGTCAATCTTTGGGGAGGAAACGGTAGTCACATCCTCCTAAACCATTATTATAAAGTGATAAAAGGATAGTTTCCCTACAAAACCTATAAAATGGGGGAAAATCATATTTGCTATAAGCTTCAAGATAAACTTTCAGAAATGGCATACTAGAAAAACACATATTTGTAATACACCTGACAAATGGTTGGCATCACTAATATATAAAGAGTTTATAAAGTAGAGAAGAAAAAGACCACCAACCCCCCCAAAATGGCAGAGTTTTAAACAGAGTATTCACAAAAAATAAAATGCAAATGGACTTTAAACATTTGAAAAGATGTGAACATTGCTCATAATAAGAGAAATATAAATTACAACTACAATGAGGTATTATTTCTCACCTACCAAATTGGGAAAAATCCAAAAGTTTGAGAAGGTTGTTAGCAAAGTAGCAGGGAAATAGCCACTGATTAATATATGCATATACACATTCCCACTGTTGAAGTGAGAGTTCACAAGTAAGCAATATTTCATTGAATATTTCATTGAATCCAACCATAAAAATGGTTTCCCCTGTACCTTTGGGTCTTCATTCTGAAGGCTCCCTTGTCATATAATCAAATACATTTGTACATCTTTTCTCCCATTAATCAGCATTGTGCCCATTGATTTTCAGTGACCCTTCAGAGGGCAAAGGGGAAGTTTTCCCTCGGCCTGTACATCTGTTAACTGAGAAGCCCTAAAAGAAACAATGCCCAAGTAGCAATAAGCACACCCAGTGCCCCAGTGCCCCAGTCTTTTTTTTTTTTTTTTTTTTTTGAGATGGAGTCTCGCTCTGTCACGCAGACTGGAGTATAGTGGTGCGATCTTGACTCACTACAACCTCTGCCTCCCAGGTTTAAGCAATTCTCCTGCCTCAGCCTCCTGAATAGCTGAGATTACAGGCATGTGCCACCATGCCCAGCTAATTTTGTATTTTCAGTAGAGACAGGGTTTCTCCATGTTGATCAGGCTGGTCTTGAACTCCTGACCTCAGGTGATCTGCCTGCCTCGGCCTCCCTAAATTTTGGGATTACAGGCACGAGCCACCACTCCCGGCCTGTGTCTTGATTTTTAATACCATTCTTCAATAAAAGAAGCCAGAGATCTTTGGAAAATTCTAGATTCTAGAACTGAGGCAGAAAATACATGCACCTGGATAATCCTGTAGTAAGAAGTGCACACACACACACACACACACAAGCCGGGTGCAGTGGCTCACGCCTGTAATCCCAGCACTTTGGGAGGCCGAGGCAGGCAGATCACGAGGTCAGGACATCAAGACCATCCTGGCTAACACGGTGAAACCCCGTCTCTACTAAAAATACAAAAAATACAAAAAAATACAAAAATACTAAAAATACAAAAAAAAAAAAAAATTTAGCTGGGCGTGGTGGCAGGCACCTGTAGTCCCAGCTACTCGGGAGGCTGAGGCAGGAGAATGGCTTGAACCTAGGAGGTGGAGCTTGCAGTGAGCCGAGATCACGCCACTGCACTCCAGCCTGGGAGACAGAGCAAGACTCCGGCTCAAAAGAAAAAAAAAAAAAGGCAAAACAAAAAACCCACCTTGAGGGAGGATGTGTCAAGGGACACAGGAGCCAACTGAAAGAACTCTCAATAGCCAAAGTTGGAAAAATTTCAACAACAAAATACATAATACGGTATTGGATTATAAACCTAAGTATTGTTAAGTAAAAAAAAAAAAGACTGACACAAAAGTCAAAGGAAATATCATTTCTTTGGTAAACCAATAATTGCAATTCAGGCACATTCAATCAGGGCAGCCCTGAGTTGTGTCCTATACAGAAAGAGCAGAAGAGGTTTTTTAACCAGGGATTTAAAAAAAAAAAAAGTGTTTTCAAAGGCAGATCGTTGCTGGGCGGAAATCCTGAATCGTAAACCCATTCTGATTGGTTAGCTAACCAGGGTCCTCCCACCTGAGAGATGTTGAAGGCTGGCAGATACTGACTTCAGCTGTTTATTCAAGTCTATTGGAATAGTCTGTGGTTTGACCCTGAGCAGGTGTGAGTGAAATCCTCTCACAGTCTCCCAACTCCGCTCTAATTAGAAAGCTTTAGCCTTAGTCACTTCATTTCCTTTCAGAGTATGAAATAAATAAATGAGTAAATACAGATATAAATAAATAATTGAATAAATTCAATGGGGGAGAAGGAGATATGTTAAATATTTATTTACTAATTCATTTTAAAATGACAAAAATGAATCCATTATATGTTGTAAAGGAAAATAAAAATCTCAGCACCCCAAAACTCCTTATGCCAAAGCGAAAGTTAAGCCTGGAGGCTGAGTCACACACACCCTCCTCCAAATGAGTAGCTGTTACTAGCATTATACATTAGCCAGACCCCTCAGAAAAGGTAAAAGGCCTCAGGCATCTCTGAATGACTGCCCCACAAATCATTTATAGGCAAATTTTTTTGCTGGCCTCCCATAAACAAGGACATGCCATATGTAACTTTAGGTCTACAATCTAAGTCTAGCTCCTAAAACTAAAATCTGTTTGATTCCACACTGATGATATCATTACAACCTTTTCTCGCCAGGTGCAGAACAGAGACAAGATCAATCATTCCTCCACCAGCCAGAAATGTATGCATAATTGATTCTTCCTTTACTCTTTTTTCTTTTATCTTCAAACATTCACCTTAATTTTATGTGAAATGTAGATTTGCTGGGCATTAACTAAAGTCTCACAAGAATGTAACCATTTGCTCCTACCCACCTCTTTCCCTACATGTCTTTCTCCCTTTAGGAAAATGTATAAATATAAACCTTCTGAAAACCTATTCAGAAAAACAGCAACAGATGCCTCTGTGATTTACATTTTCCTGGCTGTGCCCTAAAGCTGGCTTAAAAACTCTGATTGATTGAGATGCCTGCCTCAGTCACTCATTTTGGTTATCAATGTTAACATAAATAGCACATTTTTATGAAAAATAGCTATATTCCCCCCCAAAAAAATAAGTAGATTGAATTGTTTTTTTTTTTTTTTTTGCAAATCTCTTTAATATATGGCTTAATGGAAAAGAGTTTGATTTTTATATCTGCACTGCATTCAACTTGTGATACTACATGTCAAATAGATTCTGGAAAACTACTGTACACCTATGACAGAGTGAGATTTTTAAAAAGAAAACTATATTTTACTATCATTGTGAAACTAGTCTTGATCTCGTGGATTCTCTGAAAGTGTCTCAGAAACCCCCATGCATCCCCAGAACACACTTTGAGAATTGCTACTCTAACCTAACTTCCAATTTACAAGATACACAGAGGAACATATTAAATGACACGGGGGCAAAATATATCATCAGCAAAATATAGAATGTAAGAAACCCTATGGAATAATGTTCTCATTTCTTCAACAAATAAATTATGAGAAAACAGAGCAGGGAGAAAATTATAGACTAAAAGGAACTTAACAGGCTTATCTACCAAGTGCAATGTGAGGACCTTTTTTGAATCCTAATTTGAACAAATTAATTTGTTTAAAAAGGAATTTATGAGACAATTGGTGGAATTTAACCACTGATTAATATTAATATATGTTAATATTAAATAATCGTTAAAATCTTTTAAGTAGGAGAACGACATTATGGTCACATTTACTAAAAGTGCTTATCTTTTAGAGATACCTGCTGAAATAGTTACAGATAAAACAATATGATACCCAGGATGTGCTTCAAAACAGTCTGTCAGAAAGGAGGAGGGAGCATCGGTAGGAGTTGAGACTGTGTGACGGGTTCACAAAGTTCATTACGCTGTTTCCTCAAATTGTGTGTATGTTTCCATTTCTTCATAATAAAAAAAAGAGTTTAAAAAGAGACAGAAGTATCCAGATGTGTCCACTGAAACTTGGCGCTCAGCAGGCCAAATGCCTTTTTGAGGTCCCCAAATGCAATCGGAATGAAAGCTCGTTAAAAGGCAGTTTCAACACCCCCACAGGATAGACCTTGCTTTTCAACTTGGAATGACTATTCAGGTAGCTGAGTAAAAAGTGATTTTGCTGATTTCTACGTAAGGAAAGCAGACTGAATTATGTTACAGCTTGTGTTCTGATTGTTTTTATGACAATAGGCTTTCTAGACATTTCTGCTCTGCTACAATACAGGAGTTGGGACCTGAAGGGGCTTGTGCATGTGAACAGAACAGGGAAGGAAGGAGGGCTACTGGATGCCATGACTTATGTCCCTCTTTGTGTAAATCTGGAGAAACACAGGTTTACAGAAATGCTTTATGGTGCCCCTGGCAAGCAATAGTATGTATCTTCAAAAATTCTATATGGTGAAAAGTATCATAAATAATTTTTTAAGGCTGGGCGCAGTGACTCATGCCAGTAATCCCAGCACTTCAGGAGGTTGAGGCAGGTGTATCACCTGAGGTCAGAAGTTCAAGACCAGCCTAGCCAACATGGTGAAACCCCATCTCTACTAAAAATACAAAAATTAGCCAGGCGTGGTGGTGGGCACCTGCAGTCCCAGCTACTCAGGAGGCTGAGGCAACAGAATCACTTGAACCCTGGAGGCGGAAGTTACAGTGAGCTGAGATCATGCCACTGCACTCCAGCTTGGGCAACCCAGTGAGTCTCTGTCTCAAAAATAAATAAATAAATAATAAAAATTTAAAAATTAAAAATCCTAGTAGCCATTAACATATGTTCACTACACATTGCTAAGGAAAAAATAACATGTCACAAACAATATGTGAAGTATGATCCCATTTATGCAAAGAGCAAACAAACAGAAACAAAACAATACAAATACAACATAAGTTTGCACATGTGCATTTGTGGACATGGATGATTCTGAGAGTAGTAAGTGAGTATGTTTTCACCCAAACTCCTTTTTACCCTGTAACACCAACTTGGCTACTCCACTGCCCTTAAGATAAAGATGTCACACTAGAACCGGAGCTACAAAAAGGCATCCAATTCTGGATACTTCTGTTTTCCAAAGCTGAGATCCACTTGTAAAACACTTGCAAACATTTTGTTTTTCTATGCTAGAAGGAGGAGAAAAATACCTCTCCCTGGGCAGGAGAACAAGGAAAAATAAAACAAGTAGTATAAACTAGTCATATATCTGAAAAGAGACCACATACTCTGAGCTCTCCAAGAAGGTTAATGTCAAGTGGATGGGAGAAATAGAACTCTCAGATCAGTACAGGGCTTGAGAGCAGAGCTGCCCATGTCTGCTTTCCCTCTGAACCCTGACAGCAAACTCTTCTGAAGGAGCTTTTCACTCTATCAAGGTATGATAAAACTTGAAAAGAGATGGCTGGATTGAGTGCGGGGCGGGGGTGGGTATCAGAGGTAGAGAAGTTCCAAGGTGGCCCCATAACTTTCCTATATCCTTGAAGAATCGTTTTTCATTTGCAGAATAAAAAAGGAAGAAAGTCTACATATCTGAAATGCTCTTCGATAGACCAGCAGATGGTGGCATAATCAGTATGGCCAAGAACCAAGTGGGACTGCCAATATCTCACTGGATGCCCAGGGAGGGCTCCACATCTGGAACAGGGTGGAATGATGTACATCCTAGCAAATTCAATGGTGGACAGACCCCATGGAGGTCCAGCTATCTCCTCAGTCCAGAAACCATGACACTCCTTAAATTCCCAGTATTTAAATAAGTCCCAGAGAAGGATGAGCAAGGGAAACTGAAGTAGTCAGGACTGAAACTTGAAATAATTTTGCTAGGATTGACTATACAGTAGATCCCTGTTATCCACAGGGGATACTTTTCAAGACCCCCAGTGGATGCCTGAAACCACAGATAGTACTAAACGCTATATATACCATATGTTTTCCTAGACAGTAAAGGGTGGGTAGGCTATAAGAGTGGATACCCTGGGCAAAGGAATGATTCACCTCCTGAGCAAGATGGAAGGGAACGGCACAGGATTTCATCACACTACTCTGAATGGCATGCAAGGTAAAACTTACAAATTGTTTACTCCTGGAATGTTCCATTTTAATACTTTTGGACAGTGGGTAACTGAAACCATGAAAAGTAGAACTGCTAGTAAAGTGTTTTCTGTCATTAGGCGAGATGGGCAATTGAAATAATGATTATCAAGAAAAAAATGGCAAAAATTGGCAAATACTTTTGCTAAAAGACTAGACACACACATGTAACTATGTGAGATAATGGATATGTTAATATGTTTGAATACAATAACCATCTCACTATGTATATGTACATCAGAAATCATACTGTATACCTAAATATATACAGTTTTTAAAACTGAAAGAGAAGAAAAGTCATGTGTGTGTTACACACACATATTGTTAAATGAATAGAGACAGCCATTCTCTGGGGGAACACAGTAGGATTTAGAGAATGTGTGAAGGAGAAGCTCACTTTCCACACCATTTGTATTTCTGTAGATTGTTTGCATTTTTCACATTGGGTCATGTTACTTTTGTGATAAAGGTTTTTGTTTCAAAAACAATGATTACAAGGCCGGGCGCAGTGGCTCACACCTGTAATCCCAGCACTTAGGGAGGCTGAGGCGGGTGGATGACCTGAGGCCAGGAGTTTGAGACCAGCCTGGCCAACATGGCAAAACCCTGTCTCTACTAAAAATACAAAAATTAGCAGGCATGGTGGTGGGCGCCTGTAATCCCAGCTACTCAGAAGGCTGAGGCAGGGAGAATTGCTTGAACCTGGGAGGCGGAGATTGCGTTGAGCCGAGATCACGTCACTGCTCTCTAGCCTGGGTGACAGAGAAAGACTCTGTCTCAAAAAAAAAAAAAAAAAAAAAAATTAGCTGGGCATGGTGGCACATGCCTTTAATCCCAGCTACTCAGGAGGCCGAGGCAGGAGAATTGTTTGAGTCTGGGAAGCAGAGGTTGCACTGAGCCCAGACTGCACCACTGCACTGCAGCCTGGGCAACAAAGTGAGAGTCCGTCTCACGAAAAAAAAAAAAAAAAGATTACATTCAATGGTTTCACAGACAACTGGTAGGGTGGGACTCTTTGCTACAGTGCACTTACCACAAGGCACCATGTCTTCACCACAAAGTTGGTGTAGGAGAGAAATGCAGGGAAAGGCTGGGTGACTTTTTCTTGTCACGAAGAAGAAAACATTAAACTGTGAAAAGCACGAAAGAATTGTCAAACGTACATGACACAAGCCATAATATAGTGTGTGAAACGTGGCAAGCACCACTTGTGTAAAACTCACCCAAACACTAATTTTTCTCAAAAATGGAAAACATATTATTAATTATAAGTAAAACCTTTGAGTAGAATCACACGATAAGGTTACAAAACACCATCTCCTGAATTGGAGCACCACCCCTATGCCCACCACAAAATGAGTCATATTTCACCTACCATTTACTTTTTATCCTTTCAATTGTTATGAACATATATAGCCAACTGCACTTCTAAAGAACTCATAAAGCTGTGCTTTAGTTATTCTGAGTTCAATATTTACATGCAGTACCGTTCTCAGAAATACTCATTTCAAATCAATCAAGGTTTATTGGGCACTTTTTATGTGCAGGCTCTTGGTACTGAGGGGTGCAAGGAGGATCAGGACACAGTTCCTGCCTTGGAGTATTTAGTCTTAAAGGAGGGGCACATAGGTAAGCAACTAATAATTACACAAGACAAAATAAAGCAAGTGACATTAATAATAACCAGAGCAGGATAGTATGTGGGAATGAGTATTTAACTCTGCATGGGCATTTGGGCCGGCCTTTAAAGGATGGTAAGGATTTAAAAGGCAGAGAAACAGCAAGGGCCATAGCCACACCATGAGCAAAACTAAGCAGGTGTGAAAGGAAGACTGATGTCCTTCCACAACTCAGTGTAGGGTCTCTAAGAAAACAAGTTATCTAGGCCTTTCACTGTATCTGTTAATCATTTTGCATTCTGTATTCACTGTTCTCATGTAGCCAGAGGCCAAATAGGTTGACCTGATCTAAAATTATTAGAAAGAGACAGTGAAATAGAAATGCACTCAGCAAATGTGGGTTCCTTGAGAAGCACAGGTACTCATACATCATGCAGGGGCAACATGAGGGGGGTCTCTAAAAGCACAGCTCTGCTAGATGAACTACACTTTCCGCTGCTCACCTGAGAAGTGCTGAAACACTGCATGTAACAAGACTGGAGCTCGCAAAATGAACAGATAGACTTTTCCCCCCTTGGTTTCAAATTCTTCAAACTGGGCTACAGCTGAACATAAATCATAATTCCAAGTAGCCAGCTGTGATGCACTTAGAACAATTCTTTTGATGTCTTCATCTGTTGGGGTCCCTCATAGCTTGTGGAGTAGCAGCACCCTCTATTGGAAAGGAGGTCTCTTGAAGGCCCATCACTACCAGAAAAACCTTTCCAATTTGCAAATAAAAGGGATACTTGCTTCCATGTGATTCATAACCACTCACCAAATGGTAAAGAGATTTTCCTATCCATTATATTTAATGTAACAAATATAAAATGTTTTGTCTATAGAAATAAGCACTGCACAGTGATTACTTCTTTATACTGAACTTTAGAAGATCTCAGTACCTTCTGACTTTTTTTTTTTGAGATTCTCTCTGTGTCACCCAGGCTGGAGTGTACTGGTGCGATCTCAGCTCACTGCAATCTCCATCTCCCAGGTTCAAGTGATTCTCCTGCCTCAGCCTCCCAAGCAGCTGTGACTACAGGTGCGTCCCACCATGCCTGGCTAATTTTTTTTCTTTTTTTTTTTTTTTTTCGTATTTTTAGTAGAGACGGGGTTTCACGATGTTGACCGGGCTGGTCTTGAACTTCTGACCTCGTGATCCGCCTCAGCCTCCCAAAGTGCTGGGATTATAGGCATGAGCCACCGTGCCCAGCCCTGACTTTCTTAAAAACTGAGATACATGCTCACTGACAAGTACGCAAGATTCCTAGAAAGAGTATGGCTGAAAAGGTACATATAAGAGAAAACTAAGTACCATGAAACTTACTTATTAATTAAAATTTAAAATGCTATTCAAAATATTATTTTTAAAATCTATAATTCTCTACACAAAAGTAATCAAACACTATTTGGTTTCACTCACTCACTCAACAATTTTTTTTGCATGTCTATTATATCTTCAATGTGTGATTTAATCAATCAATGTAGCATTATCATTGAGCTCACATCAGGAGGAAGGACAAGGCTGCCAGCAGTTATAACACAGGGTGACAAGTAAGCATAAGGAGCAGACTAGAATCCCTAACTCAGTCCTAAAGATGGGGCTTGGTATACAGAGAGGCAGCAATGCTTGCGTTGTATCCTGAAAAATAGACTGGAGCCAACCATGCAGAAGACCAGAGAGAAGTTTCCCAGATTTAGGGAAAAGGAAGTACAAAGACATAGAGACACAAAAGATACTGAGGTATTAAGAGACCACAAAGTTCATAAATGTTAGATCATAAATGTTAGAGTTATAGGCTGCTACCATATGGAGAACAGAAAGAGGTGAGGGAGTGGATCATTCATCTCAGCATTAGAAAGGGCATTAGAGGTCATCCAGTCTAGATTCCTGAATACCTCCAGTGACCTGCCACTCGCCACTCATAAAGCTACAATGGATCTCATTTTGCACCCTGCAAAACTAATCTCTCTTTCATTTGCGGAACTCAAATCAACTTTTTTGAGATGAAACATGAAACTGAAGAACTGAAGAATTGACTATATCTTAAGATTTTTCCCTAATAAAAATAACCAGAACTAAGCTGGCATTGAGCTAGAATACCCACAGTTAATACGCTTTCCTTTGCAGCATCTGTGAGTGATAACAGCTAACCACATCTTTGAATTTATCCTGATTCCAAAGAGGACACTTCCAACATCAGGGCCCTTAATGGCTTTGGTAAATACCACAAGACTTCTGAGTGCAAGTAAAGAGGGACAGCTCTCTATAATCCCCAAGATCATTGCCTAAAGCTCCCTTGTACTCCCCTGGAGAACCTCCATTCTCCTCATCAGGCAGAGCACCACTCATATCCGCTCTCCCTACAGACTCTGTGGAAGCAATTACTAAGTGAGATCATGATTCTACTGATCAGACCCGATTGCAGTACAAGAGAACAAAATCAACCATGTTAATTTCAGCTGAGCAAGTGGGGATTTGTGACGGGGGATGCCTGGCACTTGCCAAATAGAGAAATCACAGCTCCTCAGAGAAAGCAATTCAATTTGCAAGCTCTAATTGTAAGCCGAAATTAAAAATAATGGAAGGCACAAAGCAATTGCATACAAAAGTCCAGGTAATTTCAGTGAAAAGGGAAAGCATCCTTCAATAAGCAAGTGCACTTCTCAACCTGTTTTCTCCTAAAAATCTGACAATTATTTCTACGTTTCCCACTATTTAATCAGCAAGAGGTTAAAAGAGGCAATGCAATTAAACTTAAAACAATGGTAAATCTCCCCCTTTCATATTGTGTGCATTGTACAAGATGAAATGAACTAGGAGACGGAGGCACGGAGAAAGGGAGAGACCCTGATATCAAGGAGAGGCAGTCAACAGGAGCAAAAATCAAAACCGCAAGAGCAGGTGGAGGAATATATCACAGAGTCTGCAAGAGCACAAGTAACAGTTCATCTCAGTAGCTTAAGGACTAAGGATGCAGGTTGCGGAATCAGAGAGAGTTGAAGTCATATACAAGCTCCACCTCTTCTAGCTGATTGACTTTGAGTAAATTATCTAACCAGAGAAAGGTTCAATTTCCCTATCTGCACAACCTTATAGGCTTATTGAAAGGCTAAATCTGACTCAATGAATGTATGGGGTTCAGAGAGCATCTAACACGTAACAAGCATTTAATGAATTTAAGCTTGAAAAGAAGAATGCCTGGTGCATATCAAATAAACAATAATTGTTTGCTGGAAAAAGTAGTAAAGAAGCAAAAAGAAAAAGTGCATTCATCTGTGTTTAAAAAACAAAGAGGGCCAATAATACCAGTGGAAAATGGTAATATCAGGGGGAAGAACTTATGTGGCCCCCAGAAGAAATCTCTATGCCTTCCCACCTTCACAACAGGTCGTATGAGAATGACTTCATTTTAATTTTATACAAATAGTGACAATTTATTAATAAACTATAAAGTATTACTTTCATAATCATAAGGTTTTTAAGAGTCTTTAACAGAAGTCTTTAAAAACTAAATGATCAAATTATCTTTGTTTTAGATCCATGAGAGATACAAGGCCAGAGAAGTTATAATTTTAACCAAAGTCCTGCTGTCAGAGCAAGAGCTGAATACGCTGGTTCAATTTATTGGCTGTTGTTATGGATTGAACACTCTCCCCCTAAAATTCGTATGTTAAATCCCTACCCCATAAAATGACTGCATTTGGAGATAGAGGCTTTAGGGAGGTAATTAAGGTTACATGAGGTCATAAGCATGTGTCCCTAATCCAACAGAACTGGAGTCTTTATAAGAAGAGGAGACACCACGAGTGTATACACACGGAGAAAGACCTTGTGTGGACACTGCAAAAAAGTAGTATTCTGCAAGACAAGGAGAGGGGCCTCAGGAGAAGCCCACCCTGCTGGCACTTTTATCTTGAAATCCCAGACTCCAACACAGTAAGAAAATAAATTTCTATTGTATTGGCCACCCAATCTGTGTTATTTTGTCATGGCAGCTTTAGAAGTCTAATACACTGTAATTCCCTGGAAAACAGAAATGGGTCCAAATCACATCTTAACCACCTACAATGAAGTGACTTGGGGCAAGTTACTGAGAGACTTTGGGCCTCCATCCCCTCATCTGTGACATAGAAATGATGTCATTTTCTACTACATATTGTTACTTTGGTTATTTGTATAATTAAATGAGGGATCACTAATTAAAGATCTTAGCACAATGTCAGACATATAGTAAGCCCTTGATAAGCATTCACTTTAATTATGATTGTATGATGCTTGGTTGGTAATACAACCTGAGACTTTCCATTTCCTGGTTTTCTCACTCAATCCTCTAATACTTTTGTATGAAACTATACCCACAAAGGTTACATGTAATCTACACTTTTTCCAAACCAAGAATGTTTAAAACAGGGAACACAATGATCAATGGAAACGTAAAGAAATTGCTACTTTGGCTTCTTGATTCTATTCTATTTCCTGCAAAGTGGATTTTCAAACAGGCTATGAGTTATCTTACAAAAACCAGTTGTCTTGCATTTGTTTCCCAGCAGCCTCCTTCGAGGCCTGAAGATGTGAATATTCTCCCTGCTTTCTTCTGATTTATTCTTCCCTGGAAATAAATACAGCCATCACTCTCTGCACAGGAGTTCATTGTGTCTGGGGGAAATTTTCTTGTGAAGGCTTTGAGATGAGAGAAGAGCATAGTGCATCTTACAGGAATCAGCTATTTTCAAGGCATTATTAGTGAGGCTGATGGCTGTAGCAAATTTCACAAAAGAAGGTATCTTAAAACTTCACGAGTTTTCAAAACAACTCAACTCACTTCAACATGGAGCAATGTGGGAACTGTTTCCTGGGCTCTGGGCTCATGAAGACATGAATGCCAAAGCAAAGAGCTGCACTATATAGAATATTTATTGCCAAATGTCAAGAAAGGTGTATAGTTCATCCTGCCCCCAGGACTAGGAAATTTTTGTCTCCTTAGAACAACTCATGGGAGACTTTTTTTCACCTCTTGATTACTTTTAGAGAGAAGAGTGAGAAATGACTTAATAACTGCCTTCTCGTGGCATATAAAAAATCACAGCCAGGTCATCTAGCTCTCCATTAGGACCGAACCATGCAAAGACAAAATAGAATAATATAATAATAATAATAATAGTAGAAGTGATTTGAAGCCTGTAATCCCAGCACTTTGGGAGGCCGAGGTGGGCAGATCACCTGAGGTTAGGAGTTTCAGACTAGCCTGACCAACATGGTGAAACCTCGTCTCTACTAAAAATATAAAAATTAGCTGGGCATGGTGGCACATGCCTGTCATCCCAGCTACTTGGGAGGCTGAGGCAGGGGAATCACTTGAACCCAGTAGGCGGAGGTTACAATGAGCCAAGATCGGGCTATTGCACTCCAGCCTAGGCAACAGAGCAAGACTCTGTCTCAAAAAAATAAAATATAAAAAAAAAAATAAAAAGTAAAGAAGTGATTTGAGTCAGACCAGTAATATAATTTTCTGAAAAAGAGAGTTTTTCAACATCAGAAGTTGGGAAGAAGAAGGGTTGTTCTTCAGAGTCAGCTGGCTTCAAGGTGACCTCAAATCACTTCCTACACACATCTACCATAGATATTTTGTTGCTGTTGTTGTTGTTAGAGAAAACCAAGATATTTTCTTAACAGAATCATTGCGTTGGTTTATTTCAAAAATTTACAGGTCAAGCAGTTTATGTTCATTTCCTCATTGAATCTTGACAGCCAATAAGGTAGAAAGCAAAGTGTAATGGAAAGAATGGGTATTGAGCCAAACTGCTCTGGGTTTAAATTCTGGCTTTACCACAAATAGCTAAGTCTCACTCCTCTGATCTAAACAAGGATAATTACCTACCCTTTGTGGCATTATTGTGAGGGTGACCATCATGTACATAAAATGCCTGACAAAGAGCATAACCCCGTAGATAGGTAGCTATTACTATTATGGTTGTTTGCATCACCATAATGCATATTTTAAAATAGGCACAGAGAAATGAAACAACCCTTGTAAGGTCACTAAGTCAATAAGTAGTGAAACTAGATGTGGCAGAAGATGCTAAGTAAGTGTGTATTACTCATCACCCCATCTCTCTTTCTTAGTAACAGAAATTCTTAATAAGAATTATTCAGGCTGGGCATAGTGGCTCACTCTTGTAATCTCAGCACTTTGGGAGGCCGAGGCAGGTGGATCACCTGAGGTTGGGAGTTCGAGACCAGCCTGACCAACATGGAGAAACCCCGTTTCTACTAAAAATACAAAAAAAAAAAAAAAAATTAGCCAGGTGTGGTGGTGCATGCCTGTAATCCCAGCTACTTGGGAGGCTGAGGCAGGAGAATTGCTTGAACCTGGGAGATGGAGGTTGTGGTAAGCCAAGATCACACCATTGCACTCCAGCCTGGGCAACAAGAGTGAAACTCCATCTCAAAAAAAAAAAAAAAAAAAAAAAGAATTATTTAGAGAAGAGGCTATGTGCCCGGCTGAAAGATTATCTCATATTACCCAATCTCTCCTTTACTTAACAGAAAGCTTGTGAAATACAAACAGATTTTAAATGAAACAGTCTTCTTAAGAGAAAAACAAACAGAAAACAAACAGAAAAGCGTGCTTTTCTGTCCCTCTTTACTCCTTGGGTGACTGGCTGCAATGTATATGTTATGTCATAGCTGAAGGAGCTGCAGCAGCCACACTGGAACATGAGGCTACTCTGAGATGAGAGTCATACACTAAGGATAGTGGACACCATACAAGAAACCTGGGTCACTGATGACCTTTCACATGAAATGAGTTCAGAAGTGGATGCACCAGGGCTGCCATACATCCCTGATGTCCCCACTCCTGAACTCATTTTACATGAAACAGTAAACTCTTGTGGTTTAAATACTGTTATTTCTGGCTTTTGTTACTAGCACCTAAATATAATTCCTAACTGATCCGTTAGGTATTTCTGGCTCTAAAGCTGTGGAAGGCATGTAGGGTGACCCATTAGTCTCATGTCCCCAGAAGATCCCTCAGTCCAAGGCAAACTGGGATGGCTGGTCAACTAAAAAGCAGGCTTTCTCTCAGAAGAGTGTTATCAAACATAGCTTTAAATTTCTTCTTACATAGGGAACACTTCTCACTGAACAGAAATTCAAATGTTTTGGTTGAATCCAATTCAACAGATATTTCCTGAGCACGTATAGAGCAGTATCATGGAAACCAGCACAAGGCCCAGTTCCTGACCTGAAGATCCTGCAGACTGGTTGTAGCCCTTTCATGGAAACTAGCATTCTAAGATGTATTACTCATTCATTCAGCAAAGATTCTTGAGTGCCTTCTGAACACCAGGAATGGTAACAGCAAGAAATGAACATCATCCTTGCTGTCATGGAAACTGCACTACAGTTGAGGGAGAGACAGCTAAACGAGTGAATAATTGAGTAACATAACTTCATTTAGGGTTCTTCAAATAAAGTTCCTTACACTGGAAAGAAAGGGAAGATCTACCTGAAGAAGTGATATTTGGACTGAGACTTTTACGACAAGAAGGCTCTAGTCATTCAGACAGAGGGAACACCAAATGCAAATATGTAAGCCAGAAGAAAGTCTGGCTGACATCAGAAAGATGGCCAGGGAGAGTGGATGATATGGAGCCACAGTGGGAAGAGTGAGAGATGCAGTCATAGACAGAAGGGTCAGACTCCATCAGGTCTTGTAGACCATCACAGTAAATTTGAATTTATTGTAAGTATAGTAAGTAAAATTAGAAACTACAGGAAGATTCAAAAGCAGGGAAGTAAGATCATCTCATTTATGTTTTTAAAAGATAACTCTGGCTACTGAGTAGAAAATAGATTATGAGCCTGAAAGAGTGGCAACAGGGAGACCAGTTGGGAGCCCAATGCTGTAATCAACATGAGAAACACATGTGACAGACATAGGATAGCAGCCCTGAGTTTGGAAAGCAATAGGCAGATTTGGGTTATTTTAGAGCTAGACTTGCTTAACTTACTAATGGTTTGCACTTTACACCAGCAATAGGATTCACCTTTTCAGTGGAACTTCCTTTTGTGTTATTTAAAGTCAACTAGGCCGAGTATGGTGGCTCACGCCTGTGATCCCAGCACTTTGGGAGACCAAGGCGGGTGGATCACTTGATGTCAGGAGTTCGAGACCAGCCTGGCCAACATGGTGAAACCCCCATCTCTACTAAAAATACAAAAATTAGTTGGGTGTGGTGGCAGGTGCCTGTAATCCCAGCTACTTGAGAGGCTGAGGCACAAGAATTGCTTGAATCCAGAAGGTGGAGGTTGCAGTGAGCCGAGATTGTGCCACTTCACTCCAGCTTGGGTGACAGAGTGAGACCCTGTCTCAAAAAACAACAACAACAACAACAACAAAAAAAAAAAAACAAATAATAAAGTCAAACATCTAAGATATATCAATTGCTTGCACTCCTCGATCCAGGACTAATCATAAAATTAGCAGTGTACAAAATAATCCCCACAGTATGAAAAGGCAAAATTCTCACACCTCTCTGACATACTTCTAGCAACTTTATCATTCACCTACATTTTTGTAGCATTTCACCTTAAAATCCTTGAACCATATGGAGACGAAGTACAAGGAGCACACAGTCTAATCCAAAGATTCCCCTAAACCAAGCATTTGTTTCACAATCAAAATGATAATTCTGAATAATTAGAAAACCTCACCAGGATGATATAACGCAGAGGGCCATTTACCCACTGAACATATGTTCTAGTCTTTCCTCTATTTTTATGTCTAGAACACCTAGTTCACAGCAGCAAAGGAGTGAAATCATTGTTCGGGACCCTCTCCCCTTGCTATTTAGCTGCTAATGAAGTTTGTATGTTCTCTAAGTCTAGAGGAAGTCCGCTTTTCTTTTTTTCCTCCTTATTACCTTCATTCTCCTCATTGTCACTTCTTTTTCGCAAAAGTATGTTAATCACCATGAATGGCTGGCAAACGCAATCATGGATTACAGGAGATCTTGGTGCCACTAGAATCAAACTCTAACATCAGCTTTCTTTGATGAAAACATTGATCTGATTTTAAAAAATGATAGTTTGGCACTATGTGTGGTACATTATCAACGATAAATGAAGGAAGAGACTGCCTTTGCGTTAACTACCATGGACCCAGAGCTGGGATAGCTCCATCTCTATATGTGATCTGATATATATATTTTTTAATTTATATAGCAAGTAGAGAGAAGTCATTGTCCTCTAATTTTTACTGATATAAAATCTGATATTCCATGAAATTAGGCAGTTGCTCACAAAATGACCTATAGTAAGTGGTAGCGATACAATCAAATCAAGATTCTAACAACAACGAAGCCTGTGTATGTTTACAACCTCCACTCAGTGTAACAGCTACAGTAATGCATCTGGGGTGTGAAGACATGGGTTCAAGTCTTAACCACTCGCCAATCAGGCACCCTGGATGAAATAACCAATTTCCCAGAGCCTCAGCTGCATCATCCTTGTGGGGCTTGGAGGAAGAAATGCATGTGAAGGTACTCCATAAACTATAAATTTTATGATAAATCATTATCAATATTAAGAAATAAAATTTGAACAAGTTATGGTGCATATAAAATAAAATGAATTTATTTTCCCAATTATTTAATAATATAAAGACTAATAAAGGGAGATTTGACAATGAATACATCCACCAATATCTGCCAACTTTTATCTGTTACAATAATGACAATAATAATAGTATCTCACATTTATTGAGTGCTTAACCCTTGCAAGATTCTGTTTTGTTAATATTCTACACAAAGCCCTAGGAGGTAGATGTTATTACAGTCCCCATTTTACAAATGAGGCAACTTATCAAGTGAAATGTTAGGATGTGAATCCAAACAGCCTTGCTCCCCAGTCCACATTCCATTACTATGCAGGACTAAAGTCCATACTGAAAATCAATCCTCACATAATTCATTATTCTTTTTACAGAACCATATCGTTTCTTCAAGATGGGATGCCTATCTGGTGAATGTTAAAATACTTCCAGGCAATGTTAGTGGAATGGAAATATTCAAGATTAATATTTGAGGGCATTTCTCTGGCTTTCTATAGCAGCTTAAGCCTTGTTAATCTGACTTTTTATCAGGTCCTGGTGACTCAAGACAGGCTAATGATTTCCTTCCCCCTATGAGTTTCTCTCTTTTGGTCTGTTCCAGCTGTCCTCATGCGGTAATCTGGGATTAGAACAAGAACATCAAATATGAATTTGCAGCTGAACAGTTCTGAAATCCCTGGAGGAAAGCATTAGGTACAAGCAAACTAGAAATAATAACTCTGTAAAGAAGAAAGAGCCAGGCAATGCTTTGTCTAACAAATTGAAACCAAAGTTTATAGCTACTGCTTACTATTTAAACTTGTAGCAAGAGAGTGAATGTGCAGCTAGTCACCAGAAGCTGTTCTGCCTCTCTTGGGGACACCTTACAGTTTTGTCCAGAACCCTATGCTAATGCACATTGTGTTCCCGCGGAGCCACATCATGCACCATTCAGCTCATGGGCGGATTCCCAACTTTGCAGAAGACAAATAACCATGATGGTTAATTTTACGTGTCCATTTGTCTGGGTCATGGGGTGCCCAGATTAAATGTTACTTCTGGGGGTGTGTTTACTTAAGGGTGTTTTCCTATGAAATGAGCATTTGAATCAGTAGAGTCAGTATAGTTGATTTTCCTCCCAAATGTGGGCGGCCATTATCCAATCCACTCAGAGTCTGAATAGAACTAAAGGTAGAGGAAAAAGAAATCCACCACCCCCCGACCTTTTTTTTTTTTTTTTTTTCTGCTTCACTGTTTGACCTGGGACAGCTCATCTTGTCCTGCTGTAGGACTGAATTACACCATAACTTTTCTGGGTCTCCAGCTTGGAGAAGGCAGAATGTGGAATATCTCAGCTTCTGTCATCACAAGAACATATTCCTCATAATAAATCTCCTTTTAGATAGCTAGCTAGGTAGCTAGATAGCTAGCCAGATAGATAGATAGATAGATAGATAGATAGATAGATAGATAGATAGATAGATATAGAGATATAGAGATATAGAAATAGAGATGTGTATATATGGAGAGAGAGAGAGATACAGACAGAGACAAGGATATGTAAATATCCTGTATTGGTTCTTTGTCTCTGAAGAACTCTGCCTAATCCAATGGCCATGGGTTTGGGAGTGACAACTGCTCAGAGTTATTTAGCAGGACCTCAGTGAGGAAAACAAAAAATGAGAGGCAAGCACTATTCTATAACTTTTCAAAGCACACTATGCCTGTGGATATGATGAAACAAGGTTAATACTTGGATTAACTAATATTTAGTAAACATTTGCTATATGTGAATCCCTGGGCTCGATGCTTTTCCTTATATTATGCAATGCTCAAGAAAACAAAACTATCAATGTGTATTCAACTTATGACACTATTAAAATATAATGGAGACAACTCTGCAGTTAAGAAGAAACACTTCAGAATTCTCTGCACATTTCCCATACAACACAAGGGATTATCTGGACAACTGCCTATAGATTTTTTCCTTTGTTCCATCATTTAATCTAGTTCAGTATTTCTCAAACCTCAGTGTGCAAAATAATTATTGTTCAAGGTTATAGACACCAAATCATATTTACTGTGCTTCACGTCAATTTCAGGACATTTCAAAGGTATTTTCAGGGCCTCTGTGAACAGGTGAGCAGCCTGCATCCAGCAGGAATAAACCAGGAGAGGGCAGTAGGGGCTGAAACCCAGCCTGTACCCTACCGTGCAGCTGATTCAGCTGGGGGCAAGAGGTACCTTTCTATAATTCATTCTTAAAGAGAGGGGCCACCTTTTTAAAACTCACGAAAAGGTGCCTATAATGGCTGTGCACCTAATTATTTTGATAATATGTGTTTCATGTCTTAGGAGCTGACTCTAGAATTTAAATAGTTCTAAATCCACTGTTCCTGTTTATTTATATGCCTCTCTCCTCACTGGATTGTGAATGTCATATGCTCAGTGTACCTACTTAATCATTTCTGTATCCCCAGCATCTTGCTCAGTTCCTGTAAAATAAAAGATTCTCATTAGTGTATGATGAAGTTTAAGTAAAATTTAGAAAATAAGTTAAATTTAGCCAACATCCAATGACAAAGCTAACATGTATTATATGTCAGGCATGTAGTAACCATCATATAGTCTTCACAAAAATCCTCTAAGATAGGCATTATCGTTATTATTTTTATCTCCACTTTCAGCAAAGGACATCTATTTAGTTCACATATTTTATAAATATTAGTATAATTAATAGCATTAAAACCATAATATAATCTTGACTTTTCTCTGAAAGATTAAATAGTATTGCTCCTTGTCATTACATATTTTTCTGAATTATTTTTTATAATCTGCAAAATAAATATCTCATAACAACATTGCACTCTATTAAAGCACTCTCCTATGGATGGACGTGTAGGTTCTAACAGTCGCTGTTAAAAATAACTCTTCAGGCCAGGCACAGTAGCTCACACCTGTAATCCCAGCACTTTGGGAGGCCAAGGCAAGTGGATCACGAGGTCAGGAGATCAAGACCATCCTGGCTAACACGGTGAAACCCCATCTCTACTAAAAGTACAAAAAATTAGCCGGGCGTGGTGGTGGGCACCTGTAGTCCCAGCTACTTGAGAGGCTGAGGCAAGAGAATGGGGTGAACCTGGTAGGCAGAGTTTGCAGTGAGCGGAGATTGGGCCACTGCACTCCAGCCTGGGCAACAGAGAAAGAGACTCCGTCTCAAGAAGGAAAAAAAAAAACTCTTCAATGACTGTTCTTGTACATAAGTCTTTACCTTAATCCCTGACTATTTACTTAGAATAGAATCCTAGATGTGAAATAACTGGGTCAAAGAGAATAAGCCTCTGAAGACTTGGGATACACAATTGTTTTCTTAAAATTTACCTTTTAATTTCAGTTTAGGTTTCAAGTATATGCTGGGTAATTAGAGTTGTTCTATTGCTTTTTCTGGCTCTTGCTTTAGAATGGTGCTTCTATGACTATCACTAACACTACCAATAAAAGTTAAGATTTATTGAGTACTCTCTGTGGGGCTGGACTTGGCAATTCACATGTACTACCCCATCGAAGCCCCAAAACAAGCTTACAGGGTCAGTGTGGATGTCAATCCCATGCTCTCTCTGTGGTCTATGAAGTACAGAGACTTAAGAATTGAAACCCTGATCTGCTTGGTGTCAAAAGCTGTGATCTTGACTGTTCAAATACTTGCTTTCAACAGAGGAATTTCTCTGGTGATGGTCACTTGGAATATAAATGTTCAGGGGATATAACCACAACTCTTGTATCTGTAGGGCAGTTAATAAGTCACAAAGCGCAGTCACATACAGTATTTTATTTATTATTATTTTTGTCTTGAGACAACATTTCACTCTGTCACTCAGGCTGAAGTGCAGAGCCACAATCACAGCTCACTGCCGCCTTGACCTCCTGGGCTCAAGCTATCCTCCCACCTCAGCCTCACAAGTAGCTGGAACTACAGGCATACACCACCACACTGGGCTAGTTTTATTTATTTGTTTGTTTGTTTATTCATTTATTTATTTTTTTATTTTTAGTAGACACAGGGTTTCACCATGTTGCCCAGGCTAGTCTCGAATTCCAGAGCTCGAGCAATTTACCCCTCTTGGCCTCCCAAAGTGCTGGAATTACAGACATGAGTCACTGCACCCGGACAGTACATACAGTATTTTAATTGATCACCTGATCACCTCTATAGATTGAAGACAAGACCTTTCTTTCCAATTCTGCCTGTCTGCTGGGTTGAGAAGCCAAACTCAGAAAAAACAAAAAGTAGTTTTTCTAAGGGATTCTATAGGAAAACTATTTCTTAAAGAAAGCCAGCAAAAAATACTAAGACTTTGATGAAAGCTTGACCTTTCAAAGAGTTGAGCTGAGAAATGCATAAAGGAGTCCTAGTCCCTCAACATGACCCAAGGACTAGAAAACCCAACTGGTTTTCCCTATTCTCACAGCCACACTGCTTGGACATTCTGGTCTTGCAATATACTAAGAGCTCCAAATAACAATCTCATCTATCCACCTCCGAATTCCTCTAACTGAAATCAATGCATGCCAAAGTAGTATAACTATAATTCTACATTTTAAAACACAGTTCAGATAAGGGAGAGGCTAATATTGTTTTGATTAGTTATAATGATACTTCTGATGATGACATTCCTGAGCAAAATGTTGAGGTCACAAGAGTGTTACTGGCACATTTGTATCTTCCCTTCCTAAAACCTTGTACTCATGTCCCCTGGAGACTGAGATCTTTGTGTTTCTATAGACATAATCCAGCTCTACAGATGTTTCTCTCCGGAGACCCTTCAGAAAAAGTGCTGTGTGGTAATTAAACACACGGATGCTCAGTCGGACTTCCTGGGTTCAAATTCTGGCTTTGCCACTAATGAGTTGTGTGCCCTTAAGGAAGTAATTATATATCTATACCTCAGCATTCTCATCTGTGAAGTGATTATAATACAGTAGTACCAATTTTACAAGGTTGTGGGGAGGATTATGTGATTTAATCCACATAAAAGTACATGGTAAGTGCTATGTAAGTGGTTTTTGTTATTATTACCATTATTAAGTATTCCCTCTTTTCAATCGTCACTTTTCACATGACACATTTCTACTCCCCCAGACACCAAGTGAGAGATCGTTAATATAATTAAGTCGTGTTGAATTCTCAACACCCCACTGATTTGCCATATTACCTTTGGGTTATTCTCATTTGGAAAGAGAACTACTGATGATTTAAAAGCTAAAATACAAAGAAATGACTCCCTCAAGATGGAATTTCAAGTTTATAGAGAAGATATATAGATTTTAGAAAATGAATCTTTAATGTACTCAAAATATATTTGGGATTTCAGAATGTTTGAAGTGGAAGAAACAGTGGAAATATCCAGTTCATTCTCATTTGACACATGGGGAAGCTGAGTCCCAGAGAGGCAGATTTACTTACCCCAAATAACCCAGTATGCTGTGACTATAATCCAGTTTCATGACACTCAGTCTAGTTCTCTTTCTGAAATGTGTTACTCTTTCTCATATGTTACTCTTTCTCATGGACACAAACAATTTACAGAAAGTTCTTGAAAAAAAATGTGTAAGGATGGAAATTGCCAAAGAAAAATTCATTACTTGAAAGTTTATGTCAAAAAAAAAGTTGGAAGTGGAGTAAAGGTAGTTTTAATCCTGTCACTCTCCGTAAGTATCTCCATTCCCAGCCAAGCATGGCGGCTCACACTTGTAATCCCATTATGTTGGGAGGCCAGGGTGGGAGGATCTCTTGAGGCCAGAAGTTCAAGACCAGTCTGGGCAGCATGGGGAGACCCCATCTCTACAAAATATTTAAAAACTAGCCAGACATGGTGGCATGTGCCTGTGGTCTCAGCTGCTCAGGAGGCTCAGGTGGGAGGATCACTTGGGCCCAGGAGGTTGAGGCTGCAGGGAGCCATGATCCTGTCACTGCACTCCAGCCTGGATGCCAACGTGAGACTCTATCTCAAAAACATAAATAAAGTATCTCCATTTCCAAAACAAGAAGTCTAAAATCCCTAAGTCACACCTCTCAGGCCTGCACCCCTCTCCTCTCCTACGATGATTTCAGCCTTACCCCTCTTACCTGAGGCATGTCCAGCCAAATCTGAACTCTGCCCATTCCTTCGATCTCCTCCCTGCACACCTGTTGCTCTGACCTGCCTCTTGCTGGCCTTTCTTTTTGGAATACCCTCCTTCCAACCCTGAATGCTGCCTACTAGAATCTCCTGTCAAGACTTTGAAATGAGTCCTGCTGGCCCCCCACCCCAATAAAGTAATTCTCTTTCTCCTCTGTATGGAATAAAATCTATTTACTCTTCAGTTAGAGAATGTTCTCATAATCCCACATCTTGTTGCTATTTGTATACGTACCTTATCTCCTCTTCTACGTTGAAAGCTTTCTAAATCATAACCTGGCTCACTTTAGTATTCTTCTCGGCAATCAATATGTTGTTTTATAGTTTACTAAACTGAATAAGGAAAAAATATATTCTGCATGCCTGAGTCTTTAAAAAATCTGCAGTGAAACTTTCCTTATAGTGTCATTATTCTAAAACAACTTTGCTTTATTTTAACTTACAATTTGAACTCAGCCATAGACTATTTTGTCAAGTATATGTATCTGTTACTGTAAAACAATGTTAATGTTCATTCTGCAGAGCTGTTTCAGCAGCCAGGAAAGTAAAGAGCCTAAGAAAGTGGACCCCCTACCTGCCGTTTCAACCGGAGACAGCAGCAGCACATTTACTTATTTTTTTATGTATTAAGATATGCTCAGACTTCACAGGGGAAGGACAAAAAATTCTCCTGGTTTGTTCTTGAGTGAATATTTTCCATTGGTCCTACATAAATCTCATGCCCTTTAAATAATTCTTATTATTTGGAAAAGAAAAGAGTTTTCATTTTAGCTAAAAAGGCAAATGAGAGTAACATACAATTTATATGAATGGAAATACAAAAAATAAGCAAACTAAGAAAATAATCACCCACACAAGAAAGTAAGAAACCCTAAATAAACCTATCTTAAAATAGCATTTCAAGCTTATAAAATTAACAAAAACATTTCTAGTAATTAAACCTATTGTTGGCATACACACGAGAAAAGCGGCTCCTAGATACCTTGCTAGTGGCCAAGTAAAACTTGCAGGACCCTAATATCAGAATGGCAGAACAGCAAGAACTATAAAAATGTTCTAACCCTTACATTCCATGAATCTATTTTTGTGAATTTGTACTCTAACATAATTGGACAGAAGAAAAACATATTGTATGTACAGCAGTATTCATTGCAGCATTACCAAGAATAAAATAAAACCAGGAGGCAATCTAAATATGCAATATTAAGGCAATGATTTAGTAAATTGCAATAGATCAATATGATAAAATTTATACTGTTAAAGTTATTGTAACTATATAGAAAGGTAGAAAATGTTTATGATGCACAGTTAAATAAGAGATGCAAAATACAAAATGCTGTATATACTATGATTGCAACAATGTAAAATATACATATGTAGTGAAGGCTTGTAGAGCACCATATAAAAATGAAAACAGTTGTGCAGTAGTTGCATTTAGGCATCAGGCTAATAAAGAATTTACTTTTTAACGTATAATGTCCTCAAAACATCATTAAAATTGATAATTTTTATGAACCAAACTACTTTTTAGCAGCCATTTAGTCACCAACTGACATAGTTTCTAATTGTTTTTATACTATTATTGGGACCTGCATAGGACTTACTCATTCCAATGAAACCAAGTCATGACCCTGCCTTGTCCCCACAAATCCATAAGCTCTCACATGTTCAACTTTTTGCTCAAAACTCACCCCCTCTAGGAAGCTCTCCTTCAGTGCCTCTCACATCATTTATTTACTATCACTATACCCAAAACTAATTACAGTTGACCCTTGAACAATGCAGGTTTGAACTTCATGGATCCACTTATATGTAGAGTTTCTTCTGCTTCTTCCACTCCTGAGACAACAAGACGAAACTCTCCTTTTCCTCCTCCTCCTCAGCCTGCTCAACTTGAAGTCAACAAGGATGAAGATCTTTATAATGATACACTGCCACTTAATAAATAGTAACTTTATTTTCTTTTCCTTATGATTTTCCTAATAATGTTTTCTTTTGTCTAGCTTGCTTTATTATAATACATATTATACAAAATATGTTAATCGGTTATCTATATTATCAGTAAGACTTCCAGGCAACAGTAGGCTATTAATAGTTAAGTTTTGGGGGAGTCAAAAGTTATATGAGGATGGTCATTTGTGCAGGGGGTTGGCACCTCTAACTTGTAATTAAAGACCACTGTAATTGATGTATTTTTATTAGCTCATATGTCATGTTTCAAGCATTATTCAGTTGTTAGATTCTATTTGCTTTTATCCTTCTGAACAAATTTCAAATTCTTGAAAGAACAAATCTTCTCTCCCCACCACCACTATTTTCAGTTGAGCCTAGTACAATGGTTTTCATGCAGGGAAAGCTCAGTATATTTGCTCAATGGACTGAACCCTAAATTTTCTAACTTCAAAATATCTAGTCAGGTTACTTGTAAATACGACCACCAGTAAATGTTTTCCAATGTGCAAAACTGTGTACATTTGACTTTTTTTTTCTTTCCAGCCTTTACATTTGATATGGTTTAGATTTGGGTCCCCTCAAATCTCATGTAGAATTGTAATCCCCAGTGTTGGAAGAGGAGTCTGAGGAAGGTGACTGGATCATGGGGGCAGTCTTCCCCCTTGCTATTCTCATGACAGTGAGTGAGTTCTCATGAGACCTGGTTGTTTAAAAGTGTGTGGCACCTTCCCCTGCTCTCTCTTCCTCCTAATCCAGCCATGTAGGATGTGTCTGCTTCCCTTTTGCTTCCACCATGATTTTAAGTTTCCTGATGATCTCCCTAACCATGCTTCCTGTACAGCCTGTGGAACCACGAGAAAATTAAACCTCTTTTCTTTATAAATTATCCAGTCTCAGGTAGTTCTTTACAGCAATGTGAGAACAGACTAATATAACACTTTACTGCCAATTTTGGTTAATAATTGACATATATGTGATAACCTAGGATAATGGATAGCTCAAATGGATTTAGTTTTACTATACATCATGTATATGCCTTCATACATTGTCTGACCAATATTCCACAGAGATCTTTTGGATT
The DNA here is from genome assembly GCF_000001405.40 of Homo sapiens. NCBI lineage: Eukaryota > Metazoa > Chordata > Mammalia > Primates > Hominidae > Homo > Homo sapiens. The sequence continues at coordinate 155,815,334 of NC_000005.10, read as the reverse complement.
TTAACTTTATGTTGAGAGTAATAATTAGTCAAACTTCATAGATTTTGATTATAATTTCCTCAATGAACTACCTTAAGAATATATAGCAAACAGGCAAATTGGTAAAGACAAAAATGACTAAGGTCATTATCAACTTAGATGGTGAGAGAATACAGAACCCTTAAATGTATATTCCAGTTAGAATATTATTTGACCTGGTATACAACAACACAGATATGTCCGAAATAAAAAATAAGTGAGAGAAACAATTTACAGCAAGTACACTAATAAAAACTAAGACTAAATGAAGCAAATAATCGTGTTAATCTTTAAGAAGTATATTGAAGTTATTAAACCAGATAGTGGAATGTTTACTCAGAAAGGATTATATATAAACTGATCAAACATAGAAATAGCCATTTTTTATTCTACAGAAACATGTCCATTAATTGAAAATGTGCTTATTTTCTTATAGTTAAGATTTACATTAGAAATCATTCTGTTTTGACTTTTGTTGAAACTTTTCCTAAAATAGTAGTAACTTTTACCATCATAGTAAACATAGTCATTAGAGTTTAGTTTGTGGTTGATGAGTTAGGATCTTGAAGAGATACAGGGCATTATTTTGTGTATTTAGTAGATACTGGGTTTAAAGTATTGATATCCCTGATCCTTCCAAATTGAATTTGATATGCTCATCCTCTGTCTCCATGCATATTCAACTGTTGCACTCACGATCTTCTATTTATTCATTCAAATATTTTTAAAAATGTGTACCAAGTGCCATTTATGGTCTGGTCAGCATGCTGAAGTTACCACAGTGAATGCCTCTGCCACTCCCCATACTCCCATGAAGCTTAGAGTCTGGAACAGGAAATAGAAATTAACCAAAAATTATCAAAATGTTCAATTCTCTTATTAATAAGTGCTATGAAAGAAAAACAGAAGGAGCAATGAGAATACGTAGCAAGAGGTGAATAACCAGTGTTGGAGGATAAAGAAAGTGTCCTCAGAGAAGTGACAGTTTAAAATAAATTCTGAAGAATGATGGAGGCTAGCCAGACAAATGGGAAATAGGAGAACATTCCTGGATACAGAAAGAGCAAACAAGAAAACTCTGAAGTGGAGAGGACCAAGGTAATGTTAGAAACAAGAGCCACGTGGGTGGCACACCTAATGTGAAAAGAGTGAAACAAAATGTGCCTAGAAACAACAGAGAGGCTAGAAGACCTGAGGCCTTAAGACTAGATGAGGGATTTGTGATTTTATCCTAAGAGTGATGGTAACCACTAATTAGCCATGTAGGTGCCCATTCCCCCACACTTGACTGAAAATTATTGTTTCATAGTTTCACAGTGCCAATATCTCAGATAGTACCTGACACATAGAGGGCATTCAATGTTTACCGGAGGGCTGAAAGAATGAATTGCCCTTCATCTCTCCATCAAAATAATAATGAGATTCTGAGTTATTGAGGACTCTGATTTAATGGTGGTAGGAGAGGAAAGATTTCAGTCACTACCATTTTACTATCTATCCTTTTATGGTGACATTATATTGCAACTAACATTCAAAGGAATACATGAAGAGGCTACCAGACAAATGGACCCCTCTATAATCAAAGGAAAAGTCTAGCCAAGGCAGAATCTCTGTGCAGTCTGCCTGAAAAACCATCAAATCCTAAGCAAATATTCTGAGGTTATAGAGTCAACCTACATAAACCTTCAGAAGAATCCCAAGCAGGATGCCAAACTCAACAACACAAAAAATATCTAGAAGAGAAATGCTGTCCTCCAACAGTGACCTGGGAATATGATCACTTCTCAGTGATCATATTTAGGGCTTTGATTAAAATCTGCTCACAGGGTGTTTTTCTGATCAGCAGGTATTTTGTTTTTATTCTCTAGCTGGCAACTAACCCTTTGCTCTTGGTTGAATTCAGGCATGCGCAGGCCTTTTCTTTTCATGCATGCAAGCAAAAATCTCTTGCAGTTTTAAACATACTGCTCTCTCCACTGTAGTCCACTTGATAGTTTGCCTTTCTTTCTTTACTTTTTCAAGACAAGCTTTGATCATCTGATTCCTCTACTCCACCTTCACTAACTTACCATTGCCTACAGAATAAAATTGAAAATTCTAAGCTTGCTACATAGCATCCCATACCTCTCACCTATCCAATATGTTTGTCTAACCTCCTCTCGCATCCCCTCCACATAGTCATTGTGATCAAGCCCTTTTTTTTGCTTACTAGATGCAATGACAAAGAAAACTAGCTTCTTGTATTCCTTTTTCCTTCCTTTCTTCCTTTTCTTAAAAAAATCCTATCATCAGATAATTAGCTCTACAACTAAAAATAAGATGCCCAAAGACACAGAAAATATGCAAGTCTAAAACAAACATTCCAGGTGTCTCATTTAAAGCATCACTTTCCTCTGCACAAAACACAACTGCAGTGATGCCTGATTTGTTCCCTGAATGGTTTCCCAACTAGAACTATGGTAATGATACTTCATGGGGAAGGTTACTTAACTTTATCTAGTTGAGGACCTTCTGGGAGAACCAGTTGAAAAAGTAGATTTTTGTGAATACCCCCAAATAATGAGTGTAAACAGGCTGTTGGGGCCTGGAAATCTGCATTGGCGATTGGACTCATACATTGGTTCTTATTCAAATGTCCCATCGAAGATACTTTGAGAAACACTGATTTCCAGTGTTGAGGTGAACTTGCAATATTTCAAATAGCCTGTTCTTCTGATTAATTATGTTTCCCTATTGACATGCTGAAGGCAGAATTCAGCTGCTTACCTATTTTTGGTGACCAAAATTTTTTCTTGAAGAAACTAAGTGTAGGGAGACCCCCTGAAACTACTGCTACTGAATAAAAGATGAAATGCTCCTGATTATTGTAAATACAAAATTGCATGCAGGATTGTGTAAAGACAATGCCAGGTTGGACCGCCAGAACGAGCCAACAGCGCGTGATGTGCTTCCCTCTGCGGAGAGCCTATGAATGGACGTGCAGTCAGGGAGGTTTCACATCACCAAGATTCCTATCCCAGAAAAGCAGATGTTCATAGCTCTGGGAATGGAATGCAACCCTTGTGGAGAGCCTATAAATGGACACATGGTGGGGCACCTGTCCATATGTATAACATAGGGCTATAAACACCCTCATCTTGCCACTGCTTTTCTAGGCCTCTTTAGGGTTAAGGCATACTCCCTTCCGAGAATTTCTGGTCTAACCGGTTGTCTAGCTTCACGTCCTGTTTCCATGGATTGTTTGTAACCAGCTTTTGTTGCAATTGTTACTGCTGATTAATATCTTGCTAATCATAGATTATGGAAAGACTGTGTTTCCGTTTTAAGGCTCTGTTAGAAATTACTGACACACACACTATATTGTAAATTCTAATCTCTGTATACTGTACTTCTACATACAAATGCACTGTACTTCTACATACAAATGTTATGTTAAAGAATTACTTCATCCCCATGTGACCATCTCACCTCATAATCAAATGACCCTAAATCCCTCACTAACCTACCCCTGCCCTCACTAAACTTAATAATAAATGCTGGTATATCCAGTGCATTATTGACACTGCGAAACCAGAAGGCGGTGACCCCCCGGACCCAGCTTTCACTATCTTGTGTGTGTCTATTATTTCTCAACCTGCCGATCCACCTGGGAACAAAGAGAGAGCCCCGTTGCATTGCGGGCTGCTGGCCAGATCCCGCAATAACTAAGAACTGACAATAACTTTCTAGCATAAACGTATGGTGGCTTATTTTTGGTTTTTCGTGTTCTGAGGATGCTTGTCCCCAGCTTAATGACTTCAATACAAAATTATCACAGCAAGATCAGACTGACAATGGCTTAGAGCACTGTTCTGAACAATGGACCATAAATGAGTGCTTCTTTTTTGGCCAAATTTATTCTCTAAGAAACATGTCTCTTCATAAGAATCCAGGTTTATTCTACAAACACCTTTTAACTGTATGCCAATTCCCAGGCATGGAACTGGGTGCTAGTTTCAAAAGCCCACAATTTGTTGTTGTTGTTGTTGTTGTTGCTCTGTGGAATAAATGACCTGTGCCACAGTTTTACATGTGATATCCAGTATCAGTTGGGTGACAAGCAGGAAAGAACATTTTGGGAAAACATAATGATCTATTGGTAGTTCCTTGGGACCTGCAATCTAGCGCTGAATGGAAATTATCAGTTAAAAGCAGACACTAGGCCGGGCGCGGTGGCTCACGCCTGTAATCCCAGCACTTTGGGAGGCCGAGGCGGGCGGATCACGAGGTCAGGAGATCGAGACCATCCCGGCTAAAACGGTGAAACCCCGTCTCTACTAAAAATACAAAAAATTAGCCGGGCATAGTGGCGGGCGCCTGTAGTCCCAGCTACTTGGGAGGCTGAGGCAGGAGAATGGCGTGAACCTGGGAGGCGGAGCTTGCAGTGAGCCGAGATCCCGCCACTGCACTCCAGCCTGGGCGACAGAGCAAGACTCCGTCTCAAAAAAAAAAAAAAAAAAAAAAAAAAAAAAAAAAAAAAAAGCAGACACTAAAGGATTACTCAGAGAAAACCTCTCTCCTCCACAAAATCATGATTGATATTTTCGAGCCAAATCATTTTTATTTACTCTTAACTGCAAAAGTTTTCAGATATCTACTTTTCATCAGGTGAATGTTTTCTCATAAAAGATTTTGGATGAATTTTATCAACATTTAGCTCTTCATTTTATCTTTATTTAACTTAGGAAAGTTAGTTGTAACTGTATTAAAGACAACTAACATAAATGATGCAACCAGTCAAAAGCAGCTGTCTAGCCAATTATGAAATAAATAAATAAATAAATATGGTAACTGTAGTCCTTTAAAATGCTCTAGAAAATAATTTGACATTTAGAAGAAGGATAAAAACATTAAATAACATACACAGCCTTCTAGGGCAAAATATCTTGCAAAGCTTTTGTTTTATTTTAAAAGAACAAGAAAGAATCCCAAATTATTAAAAGGTGACTTGACTTCTGCATAGACATAAATGAACATCAGTAAAGACAAGAAATCTTTTCAGTCAGAAAGACCATCTGACAAGAAATAAAAATGAAGGAAAGTAGAGAAACACATATTTAATTAGTTTAAAGCAACAAAATTAAAAAGTATAATGGCTCATTTTATTGGTGCTTGAACAACCTGTCAGTTAATATCCCCATTACCTTTAGTGAATATAAAAATATCAAAGCACGTGTGTTCTTTGTTCATTACATCTAATTAAAGTAATAACCCTACATCAATTATTGTTACAGCAATAAATGACCAATCTTTAAGCCAACAGGAAAGGAGCAGATGAGGAGATAGATAATCTTAGCATTAATAAAAGAGGTTCATTTACTGTACTTTTCATTTAGGACAAGAGACAACTGAGGCCACTGACTGGCCAGGATCACCCAGTTCAGTGTATCTTTCATCAGATGATGATTATAGAGCTGTCTTCATTTTCTAGTCTTTTTGTATTAAAAAAGATGCTTTTATGAAGTAATTGTAAATATCTGTTGCAAGGTTTAGGCGTATTTGATGTTCATTCAGGACCCAATATTTTTATTCACTTATTTAAACGTTTGTTTATTCTCCACATGATGCTCATCTCTCCTAGATATATTTGGCCCTTTTCTCCATCCACCTCCCTCCTCTCTTTCTCTTTCTCTTTGCTCTTTTTCCCTGTCTTCACTTCCCTGTTCCTACTCACTCTTCATGTTTCCCTTTCTTTCTTTCTCTCTGTTTGTCAATCTAGAACTCTTGATCACACATTCAGGTATTAGAAAGGTGAGAAAGTCAGTAAGATCATTCACTTACCCCAAGTATCAGTGATATAAGACCCTGGTTTAAAAAAGCTGGCGACATAACTCAAAGTTTAGCGAGACATACCTCCAGACTAGTGTCCTTATTAACCCACAACGTTGGTCATCTCTTGGTTCATCTCAATGATTTTAAATACACAATGAGGAGCAGTTCTGTCCTCGCTCTTTTAGTTAGCAGTGAGATGGATAAAAATGCTTCAAGGTGTTATTCTTATTTCCCATTGTGACCACTCAATTCCCAAAAATGCATCACATCGCTTCCAGTGCCAGTCGGTGGATTTCTTGAGAACAACAGAAACTATGCACCTTCAACTCCTGACACTGTGCCTGGTCTTCTCCAGGTAATCCTGGCTTTCAGGAACAGTTCAGAAGGGACAGTTCAGAAACAGTTCTGAAGAGAATTGGCTAATTATCAGCTATAGACTCGTGTATCCACAGCTGCATAGCTGAGTTCTCTTACAATGCACTTAATATGTTCACCTCATGTAAGACGTTGACTGGCAGTAGCTAATGCAATGAAAACATGTAATAATCTACTATATAAAGAAGCCTAGAAGTATAGGTTTCAGAGTTGGTGAAGGTGGTTCTACCACGTCATTAAAAACCTAGATCTGTCTCTTTGTAACTATGTGACTTGGCACATACATCATTTCTACCATCCACTTTCTTACATGAATAATGTAACTACAACATGAGAAGCACTCAATAAATTTTTCTATCATCATCATCATCATTGTTTTAAACACTACTATTTTATGACAGGTTTGACTTGTTCAAGAGTTCTACTAAAGCCAGAATAATAATCCATTGGCTAGATAATCCCTAAAGTTTATTTCATATTTACATAGATGGCTCTGTTGTGGTTTTGTGTTTTTGCTATTTGGATTCTTTTGGGTCCATTTCTCAGATGCAATAGTTTGCCCAATGCCATCCAATCTTCACTGGATTTTCCAGAAGAGGGAAAAAATACGGGACAGAGAAGTTACTATGTATCCCATAAGAAGACTACAGATTCTTCACAACAGCAGAGAGAGCTGGTGTCTCTGTCTCTCATTGTGTTTTCTCCTATCCCAGTCTGCCAACAAGGGTGGGTGCAAAATTTTAATGAGAACAAAATGCAACCAGATTGAGTTACTGTCCAGCACCTGCTTATGCTACACAAGCACATTTAAAAATAGCATCCTGGTGGGTGTTGCTTTCCAATGGTCAGAAATAATAAGATTTGGAAACAAATGAAGGTTTTTAAAATGCCAAAAGCAAAGCAAAAAAATGGATAAATCACAAAATCAAGACGCCAACTGTTTGTTCTCACTCCAAGTGGAAACAATGAGGCCCACAAGGTACGTGGCCTGACTGCAAACAAGTTAGGGAGATGAAATCATAAGGGCAGGGCAGAACCCTCAGAACTCCTACAGGGGACTTCAGTGCCAAAGGCAGATTCATTTCATCCAAGGCTTATTTTTTATAAGGTTGCAGATATAGCAATTCCAGTTACTAAGTATCCAGAGAGCCAGTTTATTACTACTATAAGGTACTATTTCATCTCTAGTAATAAATGCAGCCTCTTTTTCTAATTATTTATCTTTGTAGTGTATCATCCTCCTCCATCCTACCCCAAGGTAAGCTGAAAAGACAGAAAAGAAAACTATCCTCTCTCCATAAAGAGTCTTTCTTGGAGTGTTATGTCGTATTCCAAAGGTTCTGAAACAACTTCTTCCACTATAAGCAAACAAACAAATAAATACACATGCAACAGTTCCCCACAAGAATATACCAAAGGCTTTGTATCATAAAACAATGAAAACTCTTTGGAACAAAAACATTTGAAATGACCAGGAAATATTTCATGGGCTAAACTTGGCAAAATTATCTAAGAAAGCTTGGAAGGAGTGTTTTATGGGATTTATGGACTTATCTCCAGTAACGGATCATAGTTCTATCATAAGAAACATCATTCACTGCCAGGTTGGCATTTTGGGTTTGTTTTAATTTTTAAACACACAATTTACTGGCTGGCCCAAGCTTCAACCATATTAACCACAAGTCAGAGCACTGGAGGAATTAAAACACAAGTGAATCCCAATTACTTTTCTAGAAATCTCACAGAGACACTGGAGGTGGCCCTTGCCTTCAAGGAGCTTCCTCACTTATTGTAAGAAGGAAAAACCAACCAAAGGAAAGGATGATCCTAGTCACAATTTATGGTGTGCTATTACAGACAGTACCTGGTTCACTTTCACAAGGATTTAAATGCACAAGAGAGAATAAAATTCAGAGCTAAACCACGAGAACTAGTAGGCAAGTGATACAGATTCAGTCAGAGAAGGCTGCTCTCCATTTTAGTCAACCTATAAATCTTGGTAAAAAAGAAATGTCCTTGTAGGTATCTAAAAGGATTTTTTAACACTTAAAATAAGCAAGAAGGCAAGCAATTTTTACTTGTGTATATAATAAATGCATTTATGTATTATGCACATGTGTTATTATTTATCCATCCATTGCTCATTCACAGCTATTGTCTCAGTGTTGACATAGTATATGCCCTAGAAGTCAACCTAACTCTGAATATTAATAACTTCAACTTATAAACTCTTCTGAGATTACTGTTTTCTGTTCTGATTTACAGTACTTTAACAAATTAATCAGATCGCTTATAAGTGAAATTAATGCAACCACAAAATATTATCTAAAAGAAACAATGGCCTAAAAAACACAGGATTTCTATTATTTCATTGCTGTCTTTTCTGATTCAAAGTATTTATATCAAGTAATTATAATGATTACTCCTGAATACTCAAACTGTTCATGGAAATAACTAACATTTTTCTTACTCTACAGGTATGTTACATAGGTGTATTCAATTTCATCATGATAATCTATAACAAATGAAGATTAAAATTATATTATTACCTTCTCTGTCCCAAGATAGCATTAAATATGAAGTAGGAAAAGAATATTTTCTGACATTGTTAATTCAACAAATCTACACATAACATCACTCTAAAGAGGAGTTGCATTTCCACTGAAAATAGTGAAGTCGGCTGGGCACGATGGCTTATGCCTGTAATCTCAGCACTTTGGGAGGTCAAGGCAGGTGGATCACGAGGTCAGGAGTTCAAGACCAGCCTGGCCAAAATGGTGAAACCCTGTCTCTACTAAATATATAAAAATTAGCCAGGCATGGTGGCGGGTGCCTGTAATCCCAGCTACTTGGGAGGCTAAGGCAGGAGAATCGCTTGAACCCAGGAGGCGGAGGTGGCGGTGATTTGATATCGTGCCACTGCACTCCAACCTGGGTGACAGAGTGAGACTCCGTCCCCACACCCCCAAAAAAGAAAAGAAAATAGTAAAGTCCAGAATAGTGTTTGTTTTAAAAATCATATGAAATCTTCAAAGTCTATCATTCTAAGAATGTCTTTGTCAGTTTGAACACACTCAAGACATCAGTGGAAGGACCTAATTCATTTAAATGCTACTGGCTAGGTATGCTGACCTCCTCCCCATCTTAGCTGCTACTGCCTGTGGTTAAGCCAGCCCCAATATGGTCTGCTTCTAACTGCTTCCCAGCTTGGTTTGTTTCCCACCTGGCATAACATGCTGGAGAACACCTTACTTCAGGTTTGCTTGCAAAACAACATCAGTCCTGTGGTTGTCCTAGTGTAAATGACTCCACCAGTTTCTGTTGCTTACAGAATCATTTGCACACCAGATGCCTGAAGCTCTTTGATATCTGGACCTACACTCACCCGCCTCCTCTCCACTGGCACCATCGTCCCATATGTCACAGCTGTAGCTTTCGTGCAACACTTCCTCTACAACAGAGGTTCTCAACCAGAGGCTATTTTGTTCTCTAAAGACTATTTCGCGATGAGTGGAGACATTTTTGGTTTTCACAAATGGAGGCAGTAGTGCTACTGGCATCTGGTGTGTAGCAGCCAGAGATGCTGCTAAACATACTCCAATGCATAGGACAGACCCCCAAAGGAAATATTCCATCCCAGAATATTTATTATTAACATATTATCTAGCCTGAAATAGTGCCCAGATTGAGAAACCTTTTCCTACCAGAAATGCTGCCTCTCTGCCTAGGCAATCCCTTCACTTTTCAAGGTCCAACTGAAATGGCTCCTCTTCCTTAAAACTATCCCTAATTTTCCAGACTGCCAGTCACTACCTCACTTTCTACCTATCACATTTGCTTGAGACTCTATTTCAAACCATGCTTATAACAGATATCTATAGAAGTGTTTGGATCCTCCCTAGACTGTGAACTCCAATATGCCAAGTCTTACTCCTCTATCCCTTGATTAGCCCATTGCAGACACTGTAAATGTTAAATTTATATCTTTCATCATAATTTCCTAATTTCCATGTACACCCATATTTTCTAATACAGTAGCTACTAATCATGTGTGGTATTTAAACTTAAATTAATTAAAATTAAATAAAATTTAAAATTCAGTCCTTCAATTGCATTAGCCACACTCCAAGAGCTCAAAAGCCACATGTGGCTAATGGCAACTGTGCTGGACACTGCAGAAAGTTCTATTGGGTAGCACAGCATCTAGACTCTAAACCCCATGAGAATTACAGGCAACACCTATGTTCAACCTACACATGTCTGGTACATAGATGGTGTTTTATCAATATTTGTGTAAATGAATGAAGTTATCTTGATCCTAGGTGTGCTAACTTCCACTTACTCTATGTGTATGAGGAATAAAAGCACAACCAAGATAGATACTTTCCGAAAATTCCTCTTTCACGGTTGATCCATGCAGAGAACTCTTGGTCATGAGTAAGAAGGTATGGTCGGATTGGGTACTGAATAAACTGGAGGGCATCAGGAGAAACAGCAGGGTCACAAGTTAGGAAGTTAACATTTTGAGGCCATGTGATGGTTGCACAACCTGAGTCTATCCTGAATGACTTCCTGGAGAAGCTGGGCCCTAAGCACCAGCGTCCACAGCAAGAAAGGCACACAGTGGATACAATCATACAGCATAACACAGATATAAAGGTGAAGATTCAAAACCCAGAAATGGGGGGACATAAAAACTGGAATAGGGAAGTCTCAGAGCATAGTGTCTAAGGTTAAGAGTTAAATAATTTGGGTTCAAGTTCCTCCTCTATCACTTTCTAACAGGGTAATGTGGACAAGTCAGTTTTCCCCTTTGAGTCTCAGTTTCCCTATCTGCAAAATGCAAAATGTGGATAATAGTTATTATCCTCTTCACTGCTTTATTGCAGGAAATGAGATAATGTGTGTATGCTTTGAAGACAGAGACTGGTACAGAACAGGCCCCAAATAAATGCTGGTATTTTCATAATTATCAAAAGGATTATTATAAAATCTTTAGGATGTGAGAAAACACAGAGGTCACGTCCAACTCCAATCCTGCCTCTGTTCTCACTACCTGAGTTTCTAATCCTCTCCATAGTATCTCCGCCAAAGATGGTCCAGGTGGAAATCCTTAAATGACCATAGAGGTGCTGGTTTTTGAGATAATCCTTTCTATTTCAGATGACTGTATTACATAAAATCACCATGTTTCTCAATGGGTCACTATTGGCATTTCAATACAGCAGTTCTTTATTGTGCTGCGCTGCCCCATGCATTACAGAACACTAAACATCTTTGTCTCACCCTCCAGATCCCAAGAGCATACCCTATGCTCCATCACTGAAGGAACGAAAACTTGCCCTCAGATACAGATATTTCCCAAGTCCCCCAGAAAGGAAGTATCACCACCTGCTAAAATCTTTTGCCCAAGCCAAAATCTGCCTCCTGGATTTGACCTTGAGAGAGTATAATAGAAACAGTCAAATAACTGAAATTTCAAGAATTAGATAAACTATATGACAGAGTTTGCCTGCTTGCTCTCAGCTCTACCTGCTTCCCTCTCTCTTCTCTGCTTAGAGTCTTAGAGAGTTACATCTCCCAGGCTCCTTTTCCCACTCCTTCTAGGTAGGCTTATCCAGCAAGAGGCTCTGGAGTATAGGAGAAGTCAGAGCATTTATTTCCCCTCTTACTCTGTCTGGTGTAGTGTCTCTTCTCTGGCAAAGGCAGCACCTCCTTCATGATCTAACTCATTCTCAAAAGGCCTTCTCTCCATGGTCCCAACTGCTGCCAGGGTAGCCCTGCCCGTATTCTCATTCCTGTCTGATGACTCCGGCATCTCGGTTTTGATGTTGTTTCTCCAATCCCTTAGTAGCCTCACGCTGCTGGCTGCTCTTTCGGCTTTTCCATTGCCCATGTAATGAATTATCTGTATCATTAAATTCCCTCTGCTGAAATACATAGGGTGGTTTATGTTTTCTTGATCAGACTGATAGACACAAACTGGGAGATGATGGTTTTTCCTATCTACATCTTGAAAGAATGCTTGAACAGAGTAGCTAGAGAAAGGGACTATATCTGGATTTTTTCCCATTGCTTGTGTGGCCTTAAAGTAGTAACTTTTAAGAAAACATATATTTTGTCATGTCTTCTTTCTAGGAATGTAAGTTTAGATGAAACTGTCAAAGCAGCAACTACTTGTTTTCCCCATGGATCAGCTTTCCTTTATGGAAAAAGACACCATTCTCCCAAAGGAGACTGATTCCTCAGATGAAAAATATCTATGCAAAGTAGAAAATGGAAGCTGAACTTCAAAGGGCCAGCATGTTGGCCCTTTTTCCCATCTCTTCTCCAACTCTAAAAATACAGGAGAAAGAGAAAATAGTTAAATTCCAAAATGTGACCAATATCCAATGCAATTCATTGCTAAAAATAGTTTCAATTTCTGAATGAAATGACTTAGACACAAGACTAATAACCTTGGTTTAAAGTGTAGGAGCTGCTAAAAACATATGCAGAACACACCAAAATTATAGATACGCAAGCATATGATTTTGCCAGCAAAGCAATAATAACTGTGTCTGTATGATTCTGCTTTATTTTCCAAGACATTTTTTCATTCTCATTTTCTATGTGTATTCATTTTGCCAGCTATAAAGATAAGTGTCTTAGGAATCCTTCAATCTCAAGCAACAGAAACTCACCCCAACTAAACTAAGTACATAGAATATAGGTAGAATTCGTTACTATGTAGAAGCAAGCTTACGAATCCCAGAAAGAGAAAATTCAATAAGCCTATGGAGGAAGACTGGAGCCAGGAACCAAAAAACCATCAGGAACCAAGGAATGTCTCTCACTATGTTGCTCTCTCTAATCTGGGATTTATGTGGTCTCATATCTGTGCCAGTGAGTTCTCTGTCTTCTTTTTGGATATGGCTGAGATGGCTGGCTGCTTCAAACAGTCTTCTTAGCAGCTATGTTAGCCTGCCTTCAGTTCAAGTCGTCTCCTGGGACTGACAAGGATCTCTAAACTCCCTCTTCTGGGAAAAACACTTCATCTGACCCAGCTTGGGTCAGGCGTCCACTTTTGATCCTATCAGCTATAGCTGGGGAAACAAGGTCATGTAGTATAAGCAGGACTACATAGACCATTCCAGTTGGCAAAGCAATTCTAAAAGATAAGATGGTGGGGAAAGGAAGAGGGTTATGGGTGACACAGATGCCCTTACAGTATCTAAACTCCAACAAGGAATTATGATTACAATTATCCTGATCTTCCAGACAAGTAACAGGAACAAAAGGGTTAAACCACCTGTCCAGTGGTGCACAGTTGATTAATGTGAGTCAGTACTTGAATCAATCTCTAGAATTCTTTCTCCTCAATTCCAAGTTATTACCTATGTAACAGAATCTGTGACAGGCAGACTGTGGTAACTTACAGCTATTAATTATTAGATATTAATTATAGCTATGACTATTATTATTCCTAAGGAACTGAGCAAGTTTTCTAAAACATGGCCACCTACACCATTTGTTCTCCTTCACCAGCTCAGTCTTCTGCCTCTCTAAGGAAAGCAGCTACTACCACTTTTCCAGTAGAACTCAGAATCTATTGAAGTCCCAGAGGAGAGAATTTGAAACAAATTCTACGCAAGGGCTGGAGAGCTTCAGAGTCCTATATAAAGTATGATAATTGCAGATCTATAAAACCCAGCAAAGTTGGACAAGAGAAGTTCAACATTAACCCTTTTGAGAATGCTGAGTCTCCCTGAGCTCTAAACAGCCAAGAGGGAGTAAAATGAATGAGCTGTGTCTTCTCTACTCTCAGGGCTTGGAGAGTGGAAGACCAGATGCAGAGGGGTGGTAGGAGAGGTTTAACAACCTGCTCTAAGTCTTACACTCACAAGACAAGAAATGTCTTTGTTTTTTTTAACCAGATACAGGACTTCTACAATTAAGGATATTCCAACAACCAAACTTGAGTCCTAGTGAGTCAACAGAGAAAAACGCCTACCCTCCTTGGAAGGCCAAGAAGGCAGAGAGGTGGATCAGTTCCAATCTTCCTCCATAGGTGTGACTCCACTCCAGGAAGAGAGATGAACACCAGATAAACAAAATAATAAAGGCACTCATTATAAAGGTGATTCAAGTACAAAAGACATCCTGGAACTTAAATGATTGAACCAAGAAAATCAGTAAAAGAATTAAAGACAAGCATGATTTAACTGTGGTGAACACAATTAGTGGCCTGGGAGGTCGAGCATAGGAAATATCTCAAAACACAAAACAAAAAGAAAAAAATATGGAAATCACAAAGGAAAACACAGACTAACAGGACAGACTCAAGATAACGTAAATGGAGAAAAGGGAACAAATGGAGAAAAGACAATAGTAAGAATTATTGCCAATACTAGGGAAAACAAAAACAAAAATTCCCCAAACTGCGCAAAGATCTGCAGCTGAAAATTGAAAGGGCTTGGGAGTTCTGGGCAGGAATGATGAAAAAAGACACAACTCCAGCCACATTCCGGTAAAATCTCTGAAGTTTTAAGATGAAAAAAAAATGTTATAAGCATTCAGGCAAAAGAACAAGTTTACCTTCAAAGAAACCCAAAATCACATAAATATCAGACTTCTCATCTGCAACACTGAAAGCCAAAACACCTTCAAGCGAATACAGAAAAGGTCAGTAGCTCAAAAACCTTCTACCAGCCAAGATATAATTCCCCAATCAGGATGAAAGAAAGACAATCTAGGATCTGCAGTAACTGAGAGAGTATATCATACACCTGTCTAATTTGAAAGAAACACTTGGAAAAAATACGCCAAACCAGAAACAAATATGCACACACTGTGTTTTAGGAGAATATGGAAGATGAATAAAAGAGGATACAGCATTGAGCAACAAAACAACACAAAGCCTCCCAGGGAATGGGTAATATGAGTGCAAAGGAAGAACTTATGATGCAAAACAGGCAACTGTAAAGGAGATTTATGCTATTAAACTATCCCAGAAAAACAAATGGGAATAAGGGCTGGGCGTGGTAGATCATGCCTGTAATCTTAGCACTTTGAGAGCCCAAGGCAGGTGTATCACGTGAGGTCAGGAGTTCGAGACAAGCCTGGCCAACATGGTGAAACCCCATCTCTACTAAAAATACAAAAACTAGCTGGGCATGGTGTTGCATGCCTGTAGTCCTAGCTACTTGGAAGGCTGAGGCAGGAGAATAGCTTGAACCTTGGTGGCAGAGATTGCATTGAACCAAGATCACACCAGTGCACTCCAGCCTGGGTGAGAGTGAGACTCCATCTCCAAAAAAAAAAAAAAAAAAAAAAAAAGGGGAATAGGAAGTAGAAATAAGGAGAGGATAAAAGCATTTGAAAAAAGTTACATTGTGGGTATGGAAGGCAGAAAAAAAAAAAGGAAATAAAAGTAGTTCTAAAGTCATTGTTCTTTGGCTGGGCATAGTGGCTCACGCCCATAATCCCATCACTTTGGAGGCCGAGGCGAGCAGACCACTTGAAGTCAGGAGTTCAAGACCGGCCTGGCCAACATTGTGAAACCCCATCTCTACTAAAAATAAAAAAAAAAATTAGCTGGGCATGATGGCACTCCTGTAATCCTAGCTATTCAAGAGGATCAAGTGGGAGGATTGCTTGAACAAGGGAGACGAAGGTTGCAGTGAGCCAAGATCATGACACTGCACTCGACCCTGGGTGACAGAGCAAGACTCCATCTCAAAAAAAAAAAAAAATAAAGTCATTGTCCTTTGTGGGACATAACAGAAGGAAACAATGCATTTTGGTTGTGGCTCTATTTTGCTACCATATAACAGTAGCAACCTCTATTTTACTAAAATAGCAGGAAAAGGATTAGTGATTATTATTGGGATAAAACAAATAAAATTGAGCTTCCTCATTAACAAGACAATTGTTCAGATCTCAATTTTAATCCTCTTTGTATAAAAATGCATATTTAACAGATATGTGAATCATTTGTTACTTATTTAATATGTAAGAAAAAAAGTATACCAACAAGTATTTGGACAAAGAGAGAAGGCTTTGTCCCTTGGACAATAATGAGGCATAAACTGCAATGATGCCTTGTTCACCAAATGAATATAAGAAATGATTTAATTATAACAGGAAAAGGGACAATCTTTAAAAACAACTCAGGAAATTACCTGGAAATCAAGACAAACTAATATTTAAACACTTGCATAAAGTTCTTCCCCAGGTTTCCTCTCCAAATCACTTCATACGCATCTGGAACGAACATATGTATCATAGTAATGGTTTAGAAGCCATGGGGAAACAGTATGTTTTTCCCTAGAAATACCAAGCAAGGGTCACAGGCAGCAGACACAGGACACAGCCAGATTGTTTTACCAAAATTTTTTTCTTTTGTTTTAAATGTACTCCTTCAAAAGCATCTTTGACACTGCTGTTTTTGGCATTCCCATGTCTATCACCTCCCGCAAACAAAGGATGAGATCACTGATTTAAAAAGTGCAGCTAAGATGTAACATTAGAAGAGAAAATTTGCCTAAGGAGGGCAATTTAGTAATATGTATTCTAATTATGGAAGAGCCCCTAGCGTAATCTGGTAAAAATAGTTCCAACACATACCATACAATTACTACTGTTTTAAAAGACTGACATTAAAATTCATGCAAATTCTTCTATAGAAATAGTGTGATGGATGGTATTAATCAGAAGGTAAATCTATTGTACTAAAGCTAAAAAAGCATGAAGTTAATCTATCAAATCTTTCTGTTCAGCAGTTTCATAAAGAAAAATGTATAACCACGTGGCTATAATATATTTGAAAATACTTGGTGTCACTTCATTCAAAACAAAGTATGCTAAATCAGTAGAACTGGGTGAACATTAGCCAGAACCTATGTCTGGCAGCAAGTTACTTGGAGATATCAACATAACAAAAATGAAGAGATTCAATAATTGTAACATTCTTATGGCAAGAAGTAAAAAGGAAGAAGTGTATGGAATCTGTGTGGTTTATAGGCAGGAAAAAATGACTTAGAACCTGTGGAGAGGGGTTCAAGAAAACAGGAGGTAGCTTGAGATTGTGACCTAGAGAATGTGGTGTTTTGGGTGCCTACCTGTTTTCCCAGTGGGTGAGGAACAACTGAACAAATGAAGAGTTTGCGAAATAGCACTTTTTCTCCAGGTCATGTCAGCATCATTGCACAGAAGAAATGATCAACAATCTCACTGGTATGATGGCTTTTTGAGTTTTCTTGGGTTGCTAATTGGGACAACTCAATACCTGGAATAATCTCTTCAAATATTTCCACTTGCAAAGGTGGTTTATCCTCTCTCAAGGAGGTAGAATGGAAAGAAAACACAGATGTCATCTTATTTAACACGGGTTTTAAAGATTTTCTGGCCCAACCCTCTAGTTGCACAGATGAGGAAACAAAAGCTCTGAGAGCTTGGGGATTTTTTGTCTAGAGTCACAGTAGTTTGAGCCAAAATTAGAACTCGGGTCTTCTGAATCCCAAATGAATATACTTTCCAGTTGTATACATTTATCATCCAAGGATCTGTAGTGGAACTCAATTGAAATGCAACTCTGTACTTCTGTCCACTTATATAAAAATTTACTAAAATTCAATAGCAATTCTATTGGCCTTTTTTCCTACAAAACAGTTTTGAATACCATGGCTATATACTTAAAATGCATATAATAAAATAGTTTTCATTAGAACTCCTTTTATTTTATAATTCAGGATAATACCTAGGTTCTCAGCCTTAGCAAAGTTCTTAGAGTTTTTGCAGCTTATGCTGATGATTCGAAACAAGATAGAGAGTATTCCACTAGCCATTTATCAAAATTAGATTGTGAAGATTCATTATTTCTACCTTATATGTTTGAAAAATATCATTGGTGAAATTATGTAGGCCTGGAACTTTCTGTATGGGAAGATTTTAAATAACAGATTCTGTCTTTCTGCTTTCCTTTTGCTAGTTTTGGTAGGTTATGTTTTTCAAGGAATTGTACTTTTCAGTTTTCATTTTCAAATTGATTAATGAAACACATTTTTAGTATCTTTAGAATGTGTAGTGTTAACCCTTTTTATTCGTAGTATTGGTGTTTTCTTCCTTGATTAGTTTTGCTATTAAATTTATTAATCTTTGTAAAGAAACAACTTCTGGTTCTGTTGATTTTTTCTATTATACATTTGCTTTTTTCTTCAATTAATTTTACCTCGTATTTTCATCATTTCCTTTTGTCTACAATTTGTGGTTTGTTAATCTTTTTCTAGTTTCTTGAGATGGAAGCTTGAATCATTGATTTTTTTTTTTTTTTTTTTTTTTTTTGAGATGGAGTTTCACTCTTGTTGCCCAGGCTGGAGTGCAATGGCACAATCTCGGCTCACCACAACCTCCACCTCCTGGGTTCAAGCGATTCCCCTGCCTCAGCCTCCCAAGCAGCTGTGACTACAAGCATGCACCACCACACCCAGCTGATTTTTTTGTATTTTTAATAGAGACGGGCTTTCTCCATGTTGGTCAGGCTGGTCTCAAACTCCCGACCTCAGGTGATCCACCCACCTCGGCCTCCCAAAGTGCTGGGATTACAGACATGAGCCACCGCGCCCGGCCGAATCATTGATTTTTAAGTGTTTTTTTTTTCTTATATGTGAACTTAAGGCTATAACTTATCATCTATTCACTGCTTTAGCTGCATCCCACAAGTTTTGATAACTCATCTTTTCATCAGACTTAGATAAAAAGATTTTACATTACCAATGTGATGTCTTCTTTGACACACAGATTATTTAGAGTGTGAGGTATAATTTCCAAGCAATTTGTGGTTTTTTCTACCTATCTTTTGTTTTTTTATTCTACCTCAATTCTTTGTAACCAGATTATATAATCTGAATAAACTAGAAGCCTTTTGGTATGTGATAAGGCTTGGTTTAAGAGCCAGTATATGGTCAGTTGGGTGATGATTTGTACACACTTGGAAAAATATAATTTCTCTCATGATTGTATGCAGTGCCCTGTATCTGTTAATCAGGTCAAGTTACTGTTCAGATCTTCAATATCCTTATTGATTTAGGGATGCCTGTTCTATTGGTTGTAGAGAAGGTGTGTTCAGGTCACTCACTACGATTATGTTTTGGTCTGTTTTAGTTTTCTTTTGTCATTTACTGCTTTAAATATTTTAAAACAATGGTACTGAGTGCATTCAAATTTAGGCTGTGATACCTTCTGTATAATTATGTACTATTCCTCTTTACGCATCTGGCTTTAGAATCTACTTTTCTAGGGTTAAAAAACTCTAGCAGCTGTCTTTTGCTTACAGTGTAGAGGACAACTTTCACTGTTCTCCTTTAAAATTTGTGTCTGTGTATTTAAAGTGGGTCTCTCATAAGCAGTACATACTTGCAATTATCTATAATAGTGAGACAATTTTAGTCTTTTAATTATTCTTTAATTGGAAATGATACATTTTCTATGAGATTATTGAACTATTATTGTTAATATACACCATTTTATCATTCATGTTTTATTGTACTCAATTGTTCATATTTATTCTCTTTTAGATTAATAAAATGTTTTCTATTATTTTTTCTCCTCCAGTAAGTTATTAGTAAAAAATAATTTACTAGTTTGTTAGTGGTTACTCAAAAATATGCACTCTTTAATAATTACAGTCAAAAACATTACTTTTTCTACTTTCTGTTAGTGGTAAAACATACAACTATGTTTTACCACTATTGGTAAATTTACCATCAATTTGATTTATACTCATCCAAGAATGTATCTGCATTAGTGTTGCTTTGCATTATTGATTTTAATCTATATGAACTCCTAATCTATTGAACTGCATAAGACATCATCATTGCTTTGTACAGTCAATATTTAATTATATCCAGCCATGTATTTCTCATTCTATTTATTCCTGCATCTCTGTGCTTCCTTCTCCTTGAGGAAGAACTTACACTGTATATTTGAGCACAGGTGACAGTGATACATTATTTCAGTTTTTGTCTAAAATGTTTATATTTTACCTCCATTTTCACTCTCAGTAAAAAGTTAGAGTCTGGCAGTTATTTTACTTCTTCACTTTTAAGAGGTAATTCCATTATCTTCTGACTTCCATTGTTCTGCTAGCATGTCAGCTGTCAGTATTATTGTAGCACTTTTGAAAATAAGTCATATTTTTCTTGGCTACTTTCCCCCATTCCACCTCCTGGCTGCTTTTAAGATTTTCTTCTTATGGTTGTCATCAGTTTTACTATGATGTGCTAAGTTTTATTTTCTTTCCATTTTTTTCTACTTGTGATTCACAGAGCTTCTAGAATTTGAGTAAATATTTTTTATCATATTTGAATCATTCATAGCCATTAGACCTTTGAATATTGATTCTGCCACAAATTCTTTTTTCTCCCAGTACTCCAATTACCTGTACATTAGACACTTACCTTATATTCCATATCTCTTATCTTTTTCCATTTGAGATTCTCTTATATCCTCTCTGTGCTGCAGGTGGATAGGTTCTACTAAGCTGTCTACTGGTTTTTTATTGCTCCCATCTACGGCTGTATTCAATTTTATGTTAAATTTATTTATGGAATAATTAATGTGTTATATTATTTAATTCTACAATGTTCATTTGATTCTTTTATAGATTTTACTTAACTGAAGAAATCCATGTTTTTATCCACTTTCACACAGTTCCATTTTCTTGAATGCACAAATCGTAGTCATTTCAAAAACTCTGTCATATGATGCCATTTTCTTGATCCCCTGTGAATATATTATATTCTATTGACAGGATTTTTTAATCTTGATTTTTTTTGGTCAGTAATACTTAATATCAAATATTATATTAAAAATTATAGACGTTCCAGAATATGTTATCTTCCTCTGGTCAGATTTGCCTTTTTTTCTGCTAGGCAAAAATAATTCGAGGTGATTACCAGAGACTGATCTGCTTTCAGGCTGGACTGAACTTGTAGTAATGCTCAGTTCACCTCCGTAAGGTGTACTCCCCCTACAGTGTAGTGCTGTACAGCTTTCAGCTGAACATCTACTCTCTTCACCATGCTCATTATCCTAGCATGTCTTCAACACTAATCTTTGTTTCTTCAACACTCCCTCCCAGGTATTTAGACTTTTAGCTTAGTTTTATTCTTTCTCTCTCTTTTTTTTTTTTTTTTTCATTTTTGCTTCCCACCTTATTCAACTTCAGAATTCAGCAAATATGTTGAGGGGAAAACAGGCAAACAGGCTTTATTTGTTTTTCTATCTAAAAACTGACATTTTGGATGAGCGCGGTGGCTCATCCCCATAATTCCAGCACTTTGAGAGGCTGAGACAGGCGGATTGCCTGAGGTCAGGAGTTTGAGACCAGCCTGGCTAACATGGTGAATCCCTGTCTCTACTAAAAATACAAAATACAAAAATTAGCCAGACGTGGTGGTGCATGCCTGTAGTCCCAGCTACTAGGGAGGCTGAGGTAGGAGAATTGCTTGAACCCAGGACGTAGAGGTTGCAGTGAGCTGAGATCACACCACTGCACTCCAGCCTGGTCAACAGAGCAAGACTCCATCTCTTAAAAAAAAAAAGAAAAAAAAACTGACATTTTATTATATAATCAGAATGCCATTAATATAACTATCAACTACCAAAACTAAAAATAATTGCTTGATATTATAATCTACTATCTAGTCCATATACTTAAAAACTTTTTTTTATTTTGGATTGTTTGTAATTATTATTTTGGTTTCGGGGGTACATGTGCAGGTTTGTTACATGGGCATATTGCATAATGCTGAGGTTTGGAGTATGAATGGTCTTGTCATCCAGGTAGTGAGCATGGTATCCAACAGGTAGTTTTTCAGTCTATGCCCCAGCCTCCCTAGTAGTCCCCAGCATCTATTGTTTCCATTTTTATGTCCAAGCATGTTCAATATTTAGCTCCCACTTATAAGTGAGAACATGCAGTATTTTGTTTTCTGTTGCTGCATTAATTTCCTTAGGATAATGGCCTCCAGCTGCATTCCTGTTGTTTCCAAGGATATGATTTCATTTCTTTTTCATGGCTGCATAGTATTCCACGGTGTATGTGTACCACATTTTCTTTACCCATTCCACCACTGATGGGCACCTAGGTTGATTCCATGACTTTGCTATTGTGAACAGCTCTGCAATAAACATACAAGTGCATGTGTCTTTTTGGTAGAACCATTTATTTTCCTTTTTGTATATACCCAGTAATAGGATTGTTAGGTCAAATGGTAGTTCTGCTTTAAGTTCTTTAAGAAATCTCCAAACTGCTTTCCACAATGGCTGAACTAATTTGCATTCCCGCCAACAATGTATAAGCATTCCCTTTTCTCCACAGCCTCATCAGCCTGTTATTTTTTTACTTCGTAAAGTAGCCATTTTGACTGGTGTGAGATGGTATCTCATTGTGGTTTTGATTTGCATTTCTCTGATGACTAGTGATGTTGAGCATTTTTTCATATGTTTGTTGGCTCCTTGCATGTCTTCTTTTGAGAAGTGTCTGCTCATGTCCTTTGTCCATTTTTTAGTTGGATAATTTTTTTTTTCTTGCTCATTTGTTTAAGTTCCTTGTAGATTCTGGATATTAGACTGTTATCGGATGCATACTTGGTGAATAGTTTCTCCCATTATGTAGCCTGTTTATTCTGTTGACTTTTTTTTTTTTTTTTTTTGCTATGTAGAAACTCTTTAGTTTAATTAGGTCTCACTTGTCAATTTTTGGTTTTGTTTTCATTGCTTTTGGGGACTTAGCCATAAATTCTTTGCCAAAGCTGATGTTGAGAAAGGTATTTCCTAGGTTTTCTTCCAGGATTTTTATTGAGGTCTTACATTTAAATCTTTAATCCATCTTAAGTTAATTTTTATATATGGTGAAAGGTAAGGGTCTAGTTTCATTCTTCTGCATATGGACAGCCAGTTACCCCAGCACCATTTATTGAATAGGAAGTCCTTTCCCCACTGCTTTTGTCAACTTTGTTGAATAACAGATAGTTGTAGATGTGTGGCTTTATTTCTGGGCTCTCAGCTCTGTTTCATTGGTTTATGGATCTGGTTTTGTACCAGCATCATGTTGTTTTGGTTATTATAGCCTTATAGTATAATTTGCAGTGGGGTAATGTGATATTTCTGACCTTATTCTTATTGCTGAGGATTGTTTTGGCTATTTTTGCTCTTTTTGCATCCATATGAATTTTAGAATAGTTTTTTCTAATTCTGTGAAAAATGACGTTGGTATTTTCATAGGGATAGCATTGAATCTGTAAAATGCTATGGGCAGTATGGCCATTTTATTAATACTGACTCTTCCAATTCATGAGCATGGAATATTTTTCCATTTATTTGTGTCATCTGTGATTTACTTCAGTAGTGTTTTGTAGTTCTCCTTGTAGATATCTCTTATCTCCTTGGTTAGATGTATTCCTAGGTATTTCATTTTTTTGTTGCTATTGTAAATGGGACTGTGTTCTTGATTTGGCTCTCAGCTAGAATGTTATTGGTGTATAGAAATGCTACTGATTTTTGTACATTGATTTTGTATCCTGAAATGTTACTGAATTCATGTATCAGTTCCAGGAGACTTTTGGCAGAGTCTTAAGGGTTTTCTATGTATAGAACCATATCATCAGCAAAGAGAGATAGTTTGACTTCTTTTTCTACTTGGATGCCTTTTATTTCTTTCTCTTGCCTGACTGCTCAGGCTAGGACTTCCAGTACTATGTTGAATAAGCGTGGTGAGAGTAAGCATCCTTGTTTTGTTTCAGTTCTCGAGAGGAATGGTTCTAGCTTCTGACAGGCTGTATTTTGAAGTTCCTCAAGTTACCTTCCTTCCCATTCTGACTCTGTTCCATGAGACCACCTTAAGTTCAGCAGGCTTTTCTTTCCCATAACTGTAGCCCTCTGCCCAGCTGTCTACATTCAGAAATAGCAAATATTCCCAGGAAAAAAGTAGGGAATCATCAGCTCAACTTTCCTTGGTTTTCTTGTCTCTGAAATTGTAGCCATTCTAATCATCATGATTTCAAAGCCTCTTTGACATATTTAAGCAGAATTTTAAAAATGATTATCCATATTTTCTACTTGTTTTCCAAAGAAACACTATTCTACCACAAGTCATTCCATCCTATTCAGAACCCTTATTCTATTTTTGTTTATTGTAGCATGTAATAAAGTCCATCAATTCTTTCAAAGGGTGTCATGAAAGACAGATAGGTAGGAAATTCTTATATTAAGTACCTGAAAAGAAGTTTGCACAGTGCAAAGGAATTTACAATACTACTTAGAGTACTATAAAATCATTGTCTTGCAGCCTAAGATTAATGCTGCCCTGAGTATGTATGTCACAGGCTTTTATATAAAAGACACAGAGGAACAATGAAGAATATCTGTTATTTTCAGCAATAAATCTTGATGCATAGACCTGAAGGAAGAGGTCTTTTATACCAATTCTATAATATAATGAAGAAATGATACAGTCAAGTTCCACATTGCTCATGCTTTTAGGGTTTGGAGTTTCTTTTTAAAATCTGTATATTTAGAAGAGAGTCACTGATATTTTTACTAAAATATGGTAAATCACTTTGATATAGACATGTCATATTTATAAAATTCTTAATAACATATCATTTCAGGGGCTTGCTTTTATACCTTATTACTTAAACTTGCAATTATAGATCTGGTCATTGTCTCCATGCTAGCATTTAAACAAAGAACCAAAAAATTATTCTGATTCTCTGGAAGTTTAAGTTTTCCACATTTGTTCATAAAAGCAGTCAAGAAGAGTAAGAATGTAAACTTGTCTCTTTCTAGGGTATATTCTTAACAAACATGCTGTCTTGGGTAACTTTCTAACTTTTCTAAATCTACAGTTTTCTTGATGTAATTAAATTTTTCCATCTTATTAACAACAGAAGACCTATGGTAATATCTTAAAAAACTAGAAAATTTCCTCTTAATTCTAAAAACATGAGAGTAAAGCTTTGTTTCAGCATTTGAATTGTACGGGTTTGTTTCAATTTATTGAGGCAAACATAAGGTCAACATCATATGCATTTTTTTTCAGAGAATATAATCAAGGTAACTTGATCCTTATTGCTCTCTGAATTCATGCAAAGTACAAAACACATGCACTAAAGGTCATCTATACTCCAGCTAACATGAAAAAGAAGAACTACTAAGAAAATTGATAGTATACACTGGGATACAGAACAATGGATTAAAAATAAGGGACCTAGCTTCCAGGCCTGGTTTTGTCAATTACTAACTTTGGGACGTGTGGCAAATAATTTAACTTCTACCAACCTCTGAATTCTTATCTATGAAATGGTCCTAAACACTTCTAACATACTTTGTGAGGTCATTGTAAGGACCAAATAAGAAGGTGTTTTTTAAAGTATTATGTTTTGAAAACTGAGAAATCACTATGTAAATGCAAGAATCACTATTTGTATAACTTTAAGAGGCATTTTTACCCTATTTCAGAAAACAAACTATCTTCAGGCACTTGAAAACCTTGTCAGCTTTCATTTGCATAAAATTATTATAATTACAAATTATTTTCATGTATTCATTAAAGCAGGTTCATCAGGGTGTCTATTAGGCAATTCTTTATTAGCTTAATTCAAATTATGTATATGAAAGTAATAAAGCTGTGTTTCTCTTTCAATAATAATTCCAGAGGGTCTCCATTAATCCAGCTAACTGAAGTATTAGTCTAAATTTTATGCTATCTGGATGTGAGAGAGAAAAGCCTAAAGCTGCAAAATTAGTTCAATGCAAATTTCAATAAACAGTTAATAACACTTTTTAATTACAATATCTAAATATTGTGAACATGCCTGATATTTTATTTTGCTATTGCCACTTCACACTTAAGAAACAAAGCCTATATTCAAAAAAAGAGAAAAGAACATTAAGCAACACGACCGTGTATCATTAAGTAACATGAAGAGACCAGAACTCATAACTCCCTGGTCTCCAGCTAATTTTACAATCTTGATAATCCCTACTTGCCTACCTGAATTATCAACAGTAACAGAAACAGGTAAAAAAATACTTGTATCCTTATATATCTACATGGCAAATTTAAAAAGTTTATCTCCCTTTATAGTCTATGATCTTGTTTCTTTGTCTCCTTCCAAATGCTTTCTCCAATCACCCTAGTATTCCTTGACCATGCCAGGTATTTTGACCGTTTTATGTCTTTGCTGTTCTCTTGGCCTGAACTATCATTCTCTGCCCATTAAAATCGTTCTTGATCTTCAGGCTGTGAAATCTGGCCTTCCTGTGATTTCACAGGATGTTCTGCCTAGTGATGGGTAAACTGTTCACCTATCTGCCTCTGCAAATAAAGTATAAGGCCCTTGAAAGCAAAGACAATGTCATATTTATATTTCCATTGTCCACACACCATAATACTTGGCATACGCTTAAAAGGCAATACTTTAATTGCACATTTAAATGAAAAAATAGATGAATGAATTAATGGATGGTTGCTATAGAAGACCTAGTGAAGGACATAGTATCTTAAAGTGATACAGATTGATCTCTATAACCTAGCATACACATAGAATAAAGAAAATTCAAATTATAAGAATTCTACCTAACATAGATGTATCTTGATATAGAAATAATATTATACAATCTTAATCTGGTGCAAAAAATTTGGATATTATCACATAAAACTTGATTCAATTATTCACATAAAACTACCCTGGACATAAAAGACTAAAAAGATTTACATTCCATCAATATTCTGTCATTCTTCCTGTCTCTCCAAGACATTTTTAACGTTTAAAATCCTTCAGTAGCTTGATCTGTGGGGAAAAGGAACTAACAGTAAAACAACAATAGAATACTTAAACTATTTAAGAAACATTATTTTGAAGTAGAAGGTTATTAAAAACCATGTTTTGAGAAAATGTTGCATGTGAAGAAATCTTCCCAATAAGTGTATTAATTGAAAAAATAGAATGCTCGTTATTTTTCAGGGTAAAGAGTCACACCTATATATTTTTTATGTGTCTAGAAAAATGGCTGACGTTAAAAGCGGATATCTTTGGTTGGTGAGAAGGTAGGCAAGTTTTCTAAAATTTACTTCGAATTATTTTTCAAATTTTCCAAATGTTCTAAAAGAGGATTTTTTGGTCATTATTATCAGGACAAAATACCTATACAATTTTGCAATATTAATGAGAAAAAAATCTATAAAAGCTTTAGGCAAAAGACGGAATGGGCATGATTATCCCTGGAGAATCCAGTGTGCCCCTAGCTTACTGTGCAAATCTAAGCAAGGCACTTACTGCTTACAACCTCCATTTCTTTATTTTTAAAAGGAAGTGCTGCAGTAGATGGGTGTTCCGGTGCCATGTAGCTATAAAAACCCTGGGATTCTAAGCAAAAAGCAAATAGCTTTCAAGAGCCTTGGCAATCTGCTCCATCCGTTACAACAGACAGGACATAAACATGAGCCAAGAAAATAAGGAAACTAAAGTAGCAACTGGAAGAACCACAACACTCCCCCAAAGACCAAATACTATCCTGTTGAAACACCTTCGCCCACATTCCTTCCATTCGCAGAGTGGCCGAGTGTCCCTCGAGCTGATTCCCTTGAAAGCTAATTAATTGTATGCTGCATGGGGCATCCTCATGATGCTAAGGAGTCATTTGGAAAGGGAACATAAAAGTGATATTAAACAATAATATGCGATTTATAGTCTGGATGTGGCACATACTGTATTGGCTTACTTTTATTTCACAGTTAATCTCCCAGCTCACAAAAGTTTTATCGGATTGGAGGCATGTGCAGTATTCCCTTTATAAAATTGTATAGTCCCTTGCCATTTTCAGGGGTTTGTTTTATAGGCACAATTTGCTGCTTTAATCTCACCCAATTGTCATGTTCTAAATCATGGTGAGTAAAATGTCCTAAAAGAAGAGATGTGCTGAGGGTAGTACTTAATTACACTTAGCTCCTGATTTAAATGTGATCTGGGCATTGCCAAGTCCAGGGCACAGAGTAACCAGCCACGCAAATCTGCATAAACCAATGCAAGCCATTACCGGGCTTTTAATAGCAAAGCCCGCTTGCACTCTGATGGTACTTTGCTGGCATTCTGATGAAGGTGGGTCCTCCTGTCTTCCATCAGTATCTGCACAAATTAAGGCAGCTAATGAACTAGCTCCAATCGCTAATGTTCTCAAAGTGGGCAAGCACAGGTTTTGTCTTTAAGCCTATCATTGAACAAGGCAATTTCTGGGATGTCTCTTAGAGAAGCTCCCTAATTCTCATTCAGCCAAATGCTACTGATGATGACTATTAACGTGGAAAGGCCATTCATTTCTAGAAGTCAATTATGCTTTATTAAAATTAAGGAACGCTTAAGCTTAAAACATACATAACCTGTTTATTATGTTCTCTCTTTAGGTGTGTGGAGGAGGAAGATGACAGTAAGAGAAGCGATGGTGGTCCCTGACAGCTCTAGTTTTTTGTATTGCCACCATATTTTGCCTTAACCTGACTCCTGATAGCATGCACCTCTTTCCCTTTAGTAAAATGTTCCTCCTTTGTTCATCCTGATCTGTGTCCCAAACTTTTTTTTAATTTAAGCTTGTTAAATACCCCGATTAATCTCTACACCACCATGACTGTTTCAGGAATGGGGCTGTGACCCAAAGTAAGCCAATTCCAAGTCTGCCCAGGATGTTTCTGCAGAAGAGATGGCCACTGGCTGCTTAGGTGGCTAAGCTGGGCATATGTGAACCTGGGACTGTTTCTGCCTGGGGCTGGTGCCAAACAGGGAGACAGATATTCTAAGCATGTAAAAGCATCTGGCTCTAGCCATGGCTAACACAACATCACTTGAGTTCCATGAGCCAATAAATCCTTATTTTGTCTTAAACTTGTGGGACTTCAGTTTCTGTTACTTGCAACAGAATGAGCTCTGGCAAAAAGGAGATATTATTGCAAATGGAGCACTGAATTTTGTTCCAAAAAGCAACACTATTCACACTTTTTTCTTTATTGAACATTTCCTAAGCAGCACAGTTAGAGAGAAAATATGATCACATATTCCAAACAGATGTTGTCATGAATGACAAGTATTGCTTTCACATACCCCAACGTAACATTAGTGAAATCCCTAAGGGCCAGTCCAGCACATAAATGGGAAAAGTATATGGTAAACAGTAAATAACTGGAAACTAGCTACAGTCATAGTAATAATATCTGGACCACACAGGTTATTTATACTGAAAAAGTCTTCATTTATAGCTCTATTGATCTTCTGGTAGAACTTACCTTGCTCTTTATATATAAATATACTAAAGTACTAGCAGGGTATTTTTAAAGAGACTGGTGACAAAGTCAGCCTGAGTTATTTTCACATATGTGTTTGTACTTTTACCACATATGTGTGCATATGTAATAAAATATATTGGTTTGTATATTTTAAAATTTACCTTTATAGTATATTCTTTTGAGACTTCAATTTATTGCTTGAATTTGTGCTTTTAAAACTTTGTCCATGGAAAGGGAAGGGGAAGGAGAGGATAGGGAGAGTATGGCCAGTGGGTACAAGTTTACAATTACAAAGAAAGAAGTTCTGGTGTCCTATTACACGGCATGGTGACTATCGTGAACAATAAGATATTGCACAGCTAGAAGAGAGGATTTTGTATGTTTCCACCACAAAGAAACAATAAATGTTTGAGGTGATGGATAGGCTAATTACCCTGATTTAATCATTACACAATGTATACAGGTATTGAAATATTACATTGTGCCCATATATGTATAATTATGTGTGTGTTAAAAATGTAAAAATAAATAAAATTAAAAAATAAAACTTGTCCGTGGAGAGAGACAAACTGATAGATCTCATTCATTTCAAGATTTCTTTAGTATTTCAATGTGTGCATAAATCATGATTTATTTATGAATTTCCTTATTATGGTCTGTCAGATATTTTCTATGCATCATTCATTCATTACCACAAAGAGTTTTGCTATGAACACCGTGCTATTACACATATCTCTTATGCAGACTGTGTAAGAATTTCTCTGGGGTATGTGCCCAGAGATGGATATAGGAGTCATGGGATATATTCAACTTCAAACTCACTACAAATTCATAATAAATTGGCTTCCAAAGTGGATGGGTCCATTTACATTCCCATCAGCAATTTTAAAATCTTGAATATTAATGAGAAAAAAGAGAATCCTCATAAATTAAAAAAATAAAGTCATATTTTAAAAAACTCACAATGGTGAAAGAACGAGGGATACCTACCTAGCTTAAAACTAGTATGTATAATCTGACCAATTTCATCATTTTTTTCCTTATTTATAGCTGATATTTATGCATATATTCACAACTTTTGAAACACTTTTAACATATACTCTTTGTGTGGGTACTGGAAACAAGGATTCAGGCAAGAGGATGCAAACACATGGAAAAAAAAAAAAAAAAGGAGCTCTTACATCCAATTGTACAGCCAGAACCAACACAGCCCCATGGAAACACTACCACATCATGCCCCTCACCAAGCCTAACTGCAACCATCCTCTAAATGGTCTCTCCCAGCTGCATCCCAAGTGATCCTGCTAAAATCCATGTAGACTGTAACTCTCCCCTGCTTAAAATATCTCAGGGACTCCTCAGTCAAATCCAAAACGGCATGGCACTACTGACACCTTCGGCTCACTGTGCTTACCTTCCTAGCTTCACGGCTTACTGCTCGCCCTGAAATCCTCTATGCTTCAACATCACTCAATGGTTTTTAATTCTGCCCCCTATGTTTTTAGCCCCAGGTCTTCAGACATGCCCTGTCTATTTCCAATCCACCACTTCCTTGGACTAACTCCTGTTCCTTCCTGTGGTAACAGATTAGATGTGAGTCCCTCCTGAAAACACTGTAACCCTCAAGGCCTAGAGGGGTGCCAGGCTCTCAGAGTACCCCAGGCTTC
This sequence comes from Homo sapiens, assembly GCF_000001405.40. NCBI lineage: Eukaryota > Metazoa > Chordata > Mammalia > Primates > Hominidae > Homo > Homo sapiens. The sequence continues at coordinate 155,784,143 of NC_000005.10, read as the reverse complement.
TGCCAGCCCAGATCCCAGTCCCTACGTGGCATATGGCCTCATCTTTATTTGTTTCTTCTTATTGGACTAGAAGGCCCTTTCTGAGCAGGGACCAATGCCTGTTTGCTGACTACAGTGGCTCATATTTACCCTCAGCAAATATCTTAAAGATCTAAGCTATGTAATGGCATGGCCTGGAGCCATACAGTGGACATCATGAGGAGGGAAGACCAACGAATCATGCTAAACCCACTCCTTCTCTCCATGTTCAACCTTTCTTGTTTCCTCTTGCATACATATAGCTGTAGATTGTTCCTGTAGCTTTGTTACTACCACATATCGTGTTCAAAATACATACTCATTTCCACAAAGGGAAGAGAATGCTTTAGGCGAGCTTCCACTTTCCTGGAATTGGAGATCTAGACAGGGAAATGTCTGATAGTGCTGCAATGTTATTTTCAGCATAAATTAATTCCAAAGTGAACAAGTGTTTTACTATTAATTGAGGACAATTAATCTCTTTTATTCTAGGTTGTTTAATTTCATCATGTTCCATTAATTCCCACTATGACAAATACAGAATACTTGCAGTGACTATGCTTTCAGAGTTTGTAAAAAAAAAAAAAATTCCTTTTTAGATCCTCACTCTTAAGGATATGGGAATTCTGTACTAGGCCAAATCAGTCATTGCCAGCTAGATTATCTGTTATCAAGAGAAGCCCCACAGGTCACAGAAGCCCAGAATTTTAGTATGATGCAAGTTCCACTTAATCATGAGTCATCCATGAATTCAAGTAAACCACCAACTTATTTATATTTTAGGTCTGTATCACTTGCAACTTTAAAAAGTCCTTTAAATTCTGTTGATATTTCTGTCATTCGTCCTTCTTTGTAAAGCTCTCCCAAGCTTTAATAGTGTATGAAGTGGAACACTAAATTTCCCGCCAAAGGCACTCACAATTATAGAATTCTCTTCTGTACATATAGCACATACATGCATGATTTACATTTATTGTGTCATTTAATCTTCAAGTTGCTTCAGAAAAATAGATACTTATTTCCCAATTTTCACATGGCAGAAGTGAAGTTCAGACAGGTAACAAGCTCTCCCTCTCCCCTCCACCGAGTCATTCTAGTTCCAGATGAATCCTCTGATTTTAGGCAATTCTTATTTGAGTGGAGCTGAAACCTATCTCCTTATGCATCATTTTTTTTCCCAATCTCTTACAACAGCAGTCCCCAACCTTTTTAGCACCAGGGACTGGTTTCATGGAAGACAATTTTTCCACTGACCAGGGTAAAGAGGGGGATGGTTTGGTGATGAACTGTTCCACCTCAGATCATCAGGCATTAGATTCTCATAAGGAGCACACAACCTAGGTCCCTCACATGCGCAGTTCACAATAGGGTTCATGCTCCTGTAAGAATCTAATGCCACCGCTGATCTGACAAGAGGCAGAGCTCAGGCAGTGATGCTCATTTGCCCCCTGCTCACGTCTTGCTGTGCAGCCCGGCTCATAACAGGCCATTCTACAGTCTGGGTTTTAGAGACCCCCTGCCTTAGAACATTTAGGGAAAAAACTCCTTTTCAGTATAAGAACTCTTACCATATAAAAGGTTTGCTGTCACCCCCCTGAGACAGTTACTGAAATTACTACTAATAATGAACTAGTCTGTATTTCTTCAACTTCTTTCTAAAGGAGGTTTAGGAGTGATTTAGGTTTAGAAGTGTTTTTTTTGTTTTGTTTTGTTTTGTTTCAAATTTTTTGTAGCAGCCAAATTCTTTTTAAAATGGAATCTTTCATGAAAGCCAAATGTATATTAAGAAAAATAAAAATGAGGCCGGGTGTGGTGGCTTATGCCTGTAATCCCAGCACTTTGAGAAGTCAAGGCGGGCAGATCACCTGAGGTCAGGAGTTCGAGACCAGCCTGGCTAACATGACAAAACGCTGTCTCTACTGAAAATACAAAAATTAGCTAGGCATGGTGGTGGGTGCCTCTAATCCCAGCTACTCAGGAGGCTGAAGCAGGAGAATCACTTGAACCCAGGAGGCAGAGGTTGCGGTGAGCTGAGATCGTGCTGCTGCACTCCGCCTGGGAAACAGAGCAAGATTTTGTCTCAAAAAAAAAAAAAAAAAGAAAAGAAAAATGAAAAAGTATGGCTGTGATTGAAATGAATGTGGAAAACCTGTAGTTACTCCATCCACTCTGCCCTTCCCTCCATAAGACCCCTGTTTCAAGACAAACCATAAGGAATCTCTGCATTTCATGGGATGAAAGGGTGGCCACTAACTATACTCTCTCCTAGTCTTTCTTTTCCTAGGATGATGTCCTGGACTGACCTTAATGATCAAGTAGTTTGAAGAATACAAAGATTAAGAATAATTGAAAATGGGCCAGGCACAGTGGCTCATGCCTATAATCCTAGCACTTTGGGAGGCCGAGGTGGGCTGATCACTTGAGTCTGGGAGTTTAGGGCCAGCCTGGGCAACATAGCAAAACCCCGTCTCTACAAAAAATACAAAAAACAAAAAAATTAGCCAGGCATAGTAGTGCATGCCTACAGTCCCAGCTACTCAGGAGGCTGAGGTGGCAGGATCGCTGGTACTCAGGAGGTCAAGGGTGCATTGGGCCATGATCATGCCACTGCACACCAGCCACAGTGACAGAGTAAGACCTTGTTTCAAAAAAGAGTAATTGAAAATACCTATTTGGTTAAAATGTGGTTTGTAAAATATCAAGACATAGACTAAGAATCATACCAAAGATTTCCGTCTTCCCATGTCCTTCCCTGTGAGGGTTTGCGAGGTGTGATAGGAATCCCTGTGTCCTTCCGTGCAAGGGTTTGTGAGGTGTGATGGGAATCCCCAAAGGACCTGAAGTCGGGAGACCCATATGACTCCATGTCTTATTTACCAAAAAAATCTTCAACAAAAACATAGCAAGGGGATATTTCCTTTTTGATAATTTCCTAAAACCTAAGAAACTGATTAAAACTGCTTCTTGACTTTTAGGAAACCTGACTTCTCTACAAAGATCAGGCCAGATGATGTCTATAGTGATTTCTAAGCCTAAAATTCCATCATTTAAATAAAATTGAAAGTCTCACTTGACTTCTGAAAGAAACTGAACACATAATACAAGCTTAAACACACAAACAGGGGAAAAATAAGACAGCATGGTGAACCTTAATACTCAAACTGTAGCACTGTGCTGAAGAATGACCAAGTCAGTGGTGTGATAATTACAAGTGCTTGTACAAAGTGTGAGAGACATTTTGATAATGTCAGACTCGCTATATCATAGAGTGTTATATTTCTCAGAGTCCTTTGGGGTCTTTTATTCCCATCAAATGAGAGGTCAAAAAATTTTCTTTATTCCAAAGTGTATTACGAATACAAAAAGTTTGAGAATCACTGCTAGAAATCAATTTTAATTGACTAAATCATTCATATTCAACTGTGTATTTCTGGAAATCATGCTTTCACCTTTGCACCTAATGAAACTGCATTCCACCTGCCATCATTATGGAATGCCACCTCATCTGAGGTGCTGGTGCTCTCATCAATTCAAATGCCACTGCATCTCATTTCCAAAGAGCAGCAAGACAAGTAATTCTCAGCAGTCGTGAAGGCACCAGATGGAAATTCAGGGATAAATAAGTACATTTATACTGCAGCAGGGGATTTCGAATTTTCCTTTCAAATAGAGCCAATTAAGATACAGGAACTCTGACAGGAGTTCCGCTACAGAGAAAGAAAAAGAATACACCATCTATGTCACTACTTTAATTGGCTCCACAAAGACAGTATTTTCTAACTATTTGAAATCAAATCCTGTTGGAGCACATACAATTTACTCAGATATGTAGACAACACAATATGGCTCTAAAGACCACAAAGCTTCCCCAGTGTCTTTTTAAAAAGTGGCCATGTCAAGCTGTTTAGGGGAAAGAACTTGGTGTCATGCAATGAGCTAATCTTCCATGCTATAATCAGATGGAGAAACAGATAATCCAGAATTTGTTTACACTGTTCCTGTGCATTTAGAAAAAAAAATGGACGTATCATCCAAATCTACTAAGAGATTTTCTAGGTTTATTCTAGTGTCTTAATTCCTGCAAGTCTAAGAATAACATTTTTTTCAGTGAATTAATGTGTGTCCTTTTAAAATTGTTAAAAATTGCCCCAAAGTTTATATAGATGGGAAAATCATAAAAGAGGAAACCTGAGTGTCCAGTAGATATGAGAAAGTACTCAGATTTCCTCTTAATAAAAAAATACAAATTTAAAAAATTAAAATATGATATCCCTTCATACCCACTACAAAAGCAAATATGAAAAATCACATCATACCAAGTGTTGGCAAGGATGCAGGAGGGCAAGAATTACTGAGGGGACTGTCAATTTGAACAGCTATTCTGAAGGTCAGTCTGGCCATTTTCAGACATATTAGATATAAATATGTGCTATGGCCCAGGAGGCTAACATTTCATTATCTGGTCCACAAAGTTTCTCACATAGATTCTCAAGAGGTTTATAAGGGAACATGTGCAGGATGGTCAACACAGACAACATTTTTTAAGGTAAGATGAAAATAGTGAGAAAACAAATAAGTACAATATAAGATACTTATTACAGAGCACAGTGTGGAAACAACATACTAGGTTTACAACAACAAAATAGATTTCAAAAAGTTCTGAATAAAATCATTTTTTTTGTTTTTTTTGGACAGCGTATCGCTCCATCACCCAGACTAGAGTGCAATGGCAGGATCACAGTTCACTGCAGCCTCAGCCTCTCAGGCTCTAGCAATTCTCCCACCTCAGCCTTCCAAGCAGATGGGAGCACAGGAATGCACCATCACACATGGCTAATTTTTGTACTTTTTGTAAGATGGAGTTTTGCCATGTTGCTCAGGCTGGTCTTGGACTCCTCAACTTAAGTGATTCACCTGCTTCAGCCTCCCAAAGTGGAGTCTGCACGTGGATAAATATTTTTAAAAATTAAAATATGGAACCAGTGCTCAAGTTTTGACAATTTGGTTTTATCAGGCATGAATAAAATATATATGCAGAATGTAAAATATGAGAGTAAACATACATTCCAGTAGAGATCACAGAGTCTTATTCCAACAGAGATGGCAATACAATTTTCCCAACAAAATTCAATTTATTTTGAGAGATCTTCTTTTAGAATTGGCTTCAAAGGCCCTGGCCCTTTATTTCAGAAATTCTTAATGGTGGAAAAGCTTGTATCTGAAGAAGTAATTCATTTTTGAGTGACTATTGCCAAAGACATAAAGTAGCAACTTCTGTTAGTATAATTCTTTAAGGTTTATAAAATATGCTCACAAACTCTAGCTCTTTTAGTAATATGTTTCAGAATCAGATAGAGTCGGAGAAAAAAGTAATAATTAAGTAGGAAGACTTGTTAGAGACCTGATAATAAAATAGTAAAAGCAATTTTAGAATATACCTTGAAATGGGTCTGGAGATGAAGGCTAAACCAAAACTGTTCCAAATGCATTTTAAGCAATAGCTTAAAAATAAACGTGTAGCCTTATAACCTCCTGAGGTAATAAAATTAGATGCGTAGGCTCTGGCATTTCCGTGTTAACAATACGTTTATTTATATTTTAAATACTGAATGTTCACACAACTGGTAGCCCTTTTAGCACTGCTGTATGGGGGGACAAAAGTGGCTAAGTTAGAAATTCTGGGTTTTATTCTCTTCTCTTCCAATTACAGACAATTTTTCTGGATTTCGTCTTTTGAAAAGGAAAATTTGTGGTAATGCAGTCGATATATTAGGAAACAATTTAAGTGTAATAGAGAATATTGCATATGCATGAACTCATTTTTTTCCACCAAAAACTACTATGCTGGAGGAACACAGAAAACTCCACTCAGCTGAACTAAGCCATGCAAGACACAAAACATACACTTCAAATATCTACCAGCAACCAGTTTACCATGTGCATTATCCTAGAATGCTGTGTTTTGCTATTCTTTGACATTTGTGAACTAGTCTACATAAAAAATGCCCTTTTGACATCCCCTTCATGTCTAAGTATCCAGTTTCAAAAAATGCCAAGAAGTACATGCAAAAGCAAAGTTGTAAGATTTGAGAAGAAACTCAAAATGAGCATTTTAAAAGAAACAAAAGAATATATGTCTCTCTAGAGCAATAGGTATAAAGAAATCCACATTACAAACCATGAGAGACAATGTTAGAAAACTCAAGAAAATGTCTGTGGCTGGAACAACTTTCAGTGTTGTGAATTCAGCAAGGACCTGCAAGGCCTGTAAATACAGAAGAAATGGGAACATTGTTGAGCATATGGATTGAATAACAAACAAACACAAAAAAAAACTCAGAAACAACCTCTTTCACAGAAAGAAAACACCATCTATATAAGAAGACCATAACCAGAAATGGCCAAATCATGCGTCAGTGGCTCCTTTCACTGCTAACAGTGGTGGGTTTGGTGGTTTCAAACATTTCTATGGCCGGGCACTGTGGCTCCCAACTGTAATCCCAGCACTTCAGCAGACTCAGTGGGATAGGTCGCTTAAGCCTAAGTTTGAGACCAGTCTGGGCAACATGGTGACATCCCATCTCCGCAAAAAAATACAAAAATTACCAGGGTGTGGTGGCATGTGCCTATAACCCCAGCTACACTGGAGGCTGAGGTGGGAGGACTGCTTGAGCCCAGGAGGTAGAAGTTGCAGTGAACAATAACTGTGCCACTGTACTCCAGCCTGGACAACAGAGCTAGATCCTGTCTAAAAAAAAAAAAAAACAAAAAAACTACAAATTTCCAAAGCCTTCAATTGTTTGGTAAAGCTAAAGTGCAGAGAATAAAGCTATAAAAGAACTTCTAGCAACAATATACATATTAATTGAAAAAGGTGGTTATATACTGGACCAAATTTACAACTTTGATGAAGTATGTATCAAATATAAATGTATGCCATGAAAGACCTATTCTAAAAGGCAGAAAACCATGTTCCAGAATTTAAGGCTGCAAAAGATCATCAAGTTTGATAATGTTTCTTCCACTATTTCCCAACAACTCACAAGCAGGAACCCTTTTCTTGTCCATCTCCAACAGCAACACTTCAGATCTTTCTCAAGCTAAGGTGCCATATTTATTGAAGTACCCATGGATAAAGTTATAGTAGTGTTTTTATAAGGTTGCTACCTTTGATGTTTCATTGATGAAGTGTGATTGTGGTGCCCATAACCCCATTTGTCCCATAAGCTCTTGGCTTTTATTGGCTGACTTTGCATAATGTGGTGATTTTTTAAAACATGTGGTTCATGCCATAGTATAACTGACTATACTAACTCTGTGAGTCTATAAGGAATATCTGTTAGTTTTGTCTCATAAGATGAGCAGACATTTTGCCCGAAAAATATCAGAAAATTTGCTTTTCAGAAAACTATCCTCTTCCAAAGTCAAGTACAAGGCTCTGCTTCCTGCATAGTGAAGCTGAGGGGGCTGGAGGTGGGGCGGGGGTGGGGGGTGTTGCGGAAAGGACCCAGTCTTGCCAATCAAAGTGCTTTGGTAGTACTCAGCTAGTAAGGGTTAAAGGAAGACTGGAGATGGACTTCACCTCTGTGGTTTCTTCCATCCTAAGGATTTTATAATACCACCTTTGATAATTATGAAAATAACCATATTTATCCAGTGTCTGTTTTGTGCCAGTCTCTGTGTTCAATACATACACACATTGTCTCATTTATTTCCCACAGTAAAGCTGTGAAGAGGATGATAACTGTTATTCATATTCTGCAGATAAGGAAAATGAGGCTCAAAGGGGGCAAACTGACTTGTCCAATGTACTCTGAACCCTTGGCCATAGTGATATTTGGACATGTGGTCCAAACAGGGCCAGACTGAGTCCCCCTAAGGAACTATGTTTTTTGGAGTTATCAAGAAAGAATTGCCGTCCTATATTCCTGGGTCTCTATCATTAAGAAAAATAAAGGCATATCACTGCCCAATTGCCACCTTTGTAATCAAGTAGGATAATCTGTGAAGAATAAATCCAATAGAGTTCTAATAACATCATATAAATTTCTGAACCTAGTCAGAAGCTAGTTAACATCCAGAAACTTTTTTCAGCAATGTAAGTCAATACCTAGCCAAAAGTTTTCACTTTTTTGAATACAGTTTCTGTTACTGGAAACCAAAAGTGCATTGATTAATATACCCTGGACAGCAAAGCATTTGTGATGACCCAGATTGAATCCCCTATTGTCTGTTTCTACAAAACACTCTACTTCTCCTTTGGAGCAGAATTGGCCCAGGTAATGCTGTGTTCCCTGTAGCATCATAAGCTCCCTGAGGGAACAGACTTCTCTCCCTGTCTACCACTGTTTCCCAAGGCATCCTCCAGGCTTGGCACCTCATAGAAGTTTAGTGAATGCCTGCATAATCAGAGACTGAATGAGTGAATAAATGGACATATTGACCATTTTCACCCTGTTTGCTTATTTCTAAAATAAAGAAGCAAGTGATAGTTGCCTGTCTTTTTTTTAATGGGCATCTAATGAGGTATGTAAAAGTGCTGTGCTAGCTAAAAAGCAATAATTATAATTCATTCAGCAAAGAGTGCAGTAGTCAAAAGGAGCATAATAGAGTTGGAAAAAGCATGGGCGCAGGAGTCAGAGTATGTTTGAGTATCAGCACTGTATCTTATTAGTTGTCTAATTTTGGGCAAATTATATATCCTCTGAGTCTCTGTCTCATGGGTTTCTTGTGAGCATTTAAAAAGTTAATACATGCAAAGCATCTAATCATATTTCAGGTGTGTTATGTGCTCTATGAAATAGACTGATAAATCAGAAAAGGGCCCCATCCCCAAGAAGCTTACAGTCTAATAGACAAATCATGTACACAAACAACAGGAATATAAAGCAGAGAAGGTGTCCTGAAAATACAATAAAGACATCACAGGACATCATGGGAGATCAATCACTCTAGCTCTTTAAAAATAAATGTTTTCTTTCTTTAAACTTGCTAAGGCAACTTTATGCTAAATATTACCCTCACTGTCAAGCAAGTCTTAAGAAACTCTAACAAACAATGATATTAAATTTAGATCACTGAATTCCTTGTTTGCATGGTTCTGTATGGTAAATTCAAAAGCATTTAGATGCAAATTAGACAAAAAGTACACAAAACTTCAACTACTGAAATGTGTGCAGCATCAATGTGATTGAGAAGGTACCAGAGCTGCTGCCACCCAAGTTTATGGATGCATAAACTGGTAGGGGTCTGTGGAAAGCTGAATAGTGGCCTCCAGAAATGTCCTTGACCTAATCCCTGGACCTGCATTACCTCCTGTGACAAAAGGGACTTTGCAGATATGATCAAGTTAAGGACCTTGAGGTGGGGAGATGATCCTGGATCATCCAGGTGGGCCTGGTATCATCCCAAGAGTGCCTATCACAGGGGTGCAGGAGGAGTCTGTGAAGGAGAAGGTGATGTGGTACCAGAAGCAGAGATTGGAGTGATGTGTCTTATAGATGGAGGAAGGGGCTATGAGCCATGGAATGCTGGCAGCCACTCAACACTGAAAAAGCCAGGAACATGGATTTTCCCTTCAGAGTGTCCAGAAGGAACCAGCCCTGCCAACACTTTGACTTCAGCACAGTGAAATGGATTTCGGACTTCTGACCTCCAGAACAAGAAGAAAGTAAATTGTGTTGTTTAAGTAACTAAATTTGCACTGATCTGTTACAGCAACAGTAGGAAACCACAACAAGGACAAAGGGAAAATGGCTCCTAGTATTTGATTTCTGCTTCCATTTTTAAGGGGAAAGAATGTTACCAAAGTACCCCGGCAGAGCTCCAATTCAGGGTTTACTGATACACAGGTAGAAATTGCTGAAAATTGTGAAAAATGCTTTCTATAGCAACAGTCCTAAAATAAAGCTAGCAGGCTGGCCTCTCAAAACCCAAAATATCCTGAAGTGACCCAAGATTTTGAGCCAAGTTAAAATCCAGCATTGTGGAATTCGAATAAAATTTCCTCAGTCGCTTCTCTTACATGTTAACTGAATGGCAAAATGGACTCCAAACAGAAGTTGGGTCCTTGAGAGGGGAGGCATAATTATAAAAATCTGATTCCAACTTTTATCAAGCATTCTAGAACTCAACTATCAACATGTATGTTATAATTTTACAGTGGACTCTGGGGTGAGGAGACAGTTTCATGCTCCCCCTCACAACATTTTCACACCACCCTCAGGTCTCCACCCACATCCTGTGCTCCGGTGACATCATCATGACCTTCGGCTGGCCTGTGCACACACTACATCCCTTGCTTGTAGCATTCTTCTTCCATCCACCAACCCAAAGTCCTAGAAAAGGCACTAAACCTTAAATACTCTTCAACCCTTGATCCAAATGTTGTCTCTTTCAGGAAGTTTTATTTGACTTACCCCTAGACATACTCCCTGCCTTCTGTCCTCCCATCATCTTAGAATAGAGTTTCCTTAGCAATTACCCCATTGCTATAATCATCTGTTCACATATCCGTCTTCCCAAATACCTGGTAGTCTCTCCTGGGCAATGACAATACCCTGTTCAACTTTTAATCCTACATACTCAGTACCAGGCCTAGAACATCACAGGTATTTTTAAAGAAGTTTATTAAAGAAGTCAGGGCAGGCCAAGCATGGTGGCTTACACCTGTAAACCCAGCACATTGGGAGGCCAAGTCAGGAGGACTGGTTGAGGCCAGAAGTTCAAAACCAGCCTGGCCAATATAGTGAGACCCCGTCTTTATGAAGAAAAAATAATAACAAATTGTAACTAAAATGCAGGTTACTCACTTGCTGTTTACAAAGTCCAATTAACAGGAGCAAGGTATGGCATAAAGAAAGAGATTTATTCCAAAACTAGCTTAAGGGAAGGAGTACAGGCTTCCTGCTTAAAGGGTACTACTTCACTTTTACAGCAGAAGTGGACACTTCTAAAAGGCAGGAGAGGTGAGCAAGGGTAGGGAGTTCCACACACTAGCTCCGGTGCCTTATCTACTGGGTGGTCAAGTGGATGACTACTGGCACCCTGTGGGCAGGACTAGGCCAAAAACTCCCCAAATGGGAGACAGCAGCATAGTAATACTTACTAACGTAGAGAGTGCTTACTTACTTCGTAAGTAGTAGTACTAGAGGTAACCTCCTGGTGGGTAAGAGTTCCACAGTGGGCATGCTTTGGTTTATAAATCAACTGTTGACTTGATTTACGTAGTAAAATGAACTTGCCCTACCGGAAGTGTCTGGTGAAAGAGAGGTAAAAGGTTCTATTTGCATTTCAATAGGGGTTAGTAGGAAGTTGGGACAGGGGAAAAGGGGAAAACAGAAAGGAAAATAAAAAAAATAATAATAGTAACTCATTCCCCTTTTCTTAGAAAAAAATGGGGGTACCCAGTTACAAAATCAGTACACAAATGCAGCCACCCAGAAAACCATTAATAACTTAAAACCTTGCTACCTAACTTGTTTATCTATTGTATCTGGAAGACTTAACTCCGAAGTAACATTCATTTGGAAAAATCCAATACATAGCTAAAGTAAAGGAGTCATTATAACAGGGGGTCTATAAAACACTACGTGGTCAAAAGCAGGGATTCTAGATCTGGACAGACCTCTGCTCCATCCATCCCTGTCTCTGCCTGATGAAGTGGCAATCCCTATGTCCCTCTGACCTGGCTGCTACTGCTCTTTACCTTATTCACTTGTCTCTAGCCAGACTGTCCCTCCTGAGAGCCCAGAAGATTTTTGTGAAGATGAAAGCACTTGGAATATATCAAAGTGCTACACAAATATTTGCCACTATGATTACTATTCTAAATAACTGTTTTCTCTAAAGTAGGGCCAACATTTGTTGCTTTGTGTCAGCATCCCTCCCCTGAGAAACAGCGCCCTCCTTATATGTGAGAGTGAATTGCTCCCCCTTTCCATTTATCCACTGGTGCAAACAGAAACTGCTGCCTTTTCCCAGGAAGAGGCAAGTTCTGAAGTGCTGTGACCCTGTAGTACCTACTGCCAGCCCTACTTCCCATAGCTTAACTATGGAAACCAAGTATTCTCCACTTTGAATTTGGTTTCTGTCACTTGTAATAAAGAGATTCGTAATTATTACTTGTTCACAAAACATAAACAGGAGAAACTTCTCAATTATATCTTCTTAAAAATCGAATAAGCAGCTTTTATTGAAAGAGAATAATGCTAATAATTATTAGGCAGTCTGCTTATCAACATTATAGTGCATTAGATAAGAATCTAGAAACAGAGGCTGAGCTTGGTGGCTCATGGCCATAATCCCAGTGCTTTGGGAGGCTAAGACTGGAGGATCACTTGAGCCCAGGAGTTCAAGACCACCCTGGGCAACATAGGGAGACCCCATCTGTATAAAAAATTAAGGCCGGGTGCAGTGGCTTAAGCCTGTAATCCCAGTACTTTGGGAGGCCAAGGCGGGTGGATCATGAGGTCAGGAGTTCGAGAACAGCCTGGCCAACATGGTGAAACCCCATCTCTACTAAAAATAAAAAAAAAATTTAGCCGGGCACATTGACGCACGCCTGTAATACCAGCTAGTTAGGCTGAAGCAGGAGAATCGCTTGAACCTGGGAGGTGGAGATTGCAGTAAGCTGATATCACGCCACTGCCCTCTAGCCTGGGCAACACAGTGACACTCTGTAAAAAAAAAAAAAATTAAAAATTAAAAAATTAGCCAGGCATGATGGTGCATACCTACAGTGCTAGCTACTTGGGAGGCTGAGGCAGGAGGACCATTTAAGCCCAGGAGTTTGAGCATGGAGTGAGCTATGATGGTACCACTGCACTCCAGCCTAGGTGACAGAACAAGGCACTGTGTTAAAAAAAGGAAAAATCTAGGAAAAGAGAAATACCCCAGCAAAATGAGAGTTGCAACATGGCAGGGCATGGTGGAACCCAGGAAATCCGAGTATTAACAAACTGAATGACTGCACGCAAGGGACTTAGACTCTCTGGGCTTCATTTTCTTCATCTACAAATTGCCAAGGACCATTTATGTTCTAAGTCACTACAAATACATATACTTTTGGTTCAGATGACAGGAGCACTTTTGTGGTTTTTTTGATGTCAAAAATTCAAACTTCTTTTGTTAAAGAAAAAAATTAAAACCTCTCAGTGGGATTTAAACGAAGGTTCAAATATCCAGAATACTTAAGAGAGATCACGTCTGTTTTTTAAAGCAAAACCAGAGCCATCATTCAGTATGTGATTAATGAACTGAAAATAGGAGATTACTAAGAAAGTTACCTTTTTATGAACTTATCGAGCTTGCGGGATAAAAACTGATAAAGAGGACTAAATTCATACCATGCTGACATGTGGCTAATTCTATAATCAATCACAGCCACAGCATTCAATAATGCAACAAGTACTTACTGAGAAACAATTATATGCAGGATGTTGTGACAGGTGCTAGGGGGAAAGCAGAAAGGGATAAAGCTGGATTTATAATCTCACCTCCCTGCTTCAAACCCTCCAACAGCACGCCACTGCCCTCAGAATAAAATCAAAATTTATAACATGACTTTTAATTCCTAACTTTTAAGGCTACTACTTTTCTAACATCTTCTGCCACTGTGCCTTTCAATCATCTTTCTCCAGCCAAACTCCTCTTTCAGATCCTTTATACAGCTAAGCATTTTCTTGCTCCAAGGTCTTTGAACATCTGCTTCTATGCGATATTCCATCTTCCTGGAATGTTCTTCCCACCCACCCCTGCCCCCCACATCCTATGGCTGGCTCCTTTATGCTCTTCAAGTCCAAATTAAATGTCACTCCTCAAACAGACTTTTCCTAACCACACCCTCCTTTTTGTGCCCACCCTATCATTGCTATTATTCTCCTGGTATTATGTTTGGTCTCTCCCCAGTGCTTCTCCCAAGTTGTAAAATATGATTTGCTTGCCTCCTTGGGCTTTGCCTAAGCCTGGGGAGGGGACAGGGGTGTGGTGGTCTGTTGTATCTTCAGCACCCAGCACGATACCAGGTACCCAGAAGTCACACTATGAATGAATGCGTGAGAAAAGGAGAGTAGTACAATCACCATAACTATAACATGAAGTAATATACCTTAAGAGTTTGCATAGTAGAAAAAAAAATGGAGAAGCAAGTCCTATGAATAAAAAAATGAAAGAGAAAAGGTACAAAGCATGGCCTAAGGAGTGAAAGAAATCTTGTGTAGGGCGTAGGAAAGGACAGAATTGGTGAGGCGACATCAGGTAGACTCTTGAGGGCTAACAAAAAGGACTACCTCTGTGTTTTAGAAGGATTACTGTGCCGTGAGTACAAATGTATAATAGATGGATACTTGGAAGAAGGCCACGCCAATAGGCCAGAACAACATATTACAAAAGAATAACAAAGAAAAAGGAAAGAATGACAATGCATGAAAGATACTTTGAGGCTAGTTGGATGTAGAATGCAAGTAAATAAGGAAAAGAAGAATCCTCCAGGACTATGCCAAGGTTAAAAACTGGGGGATGTGGGAAGAGAGAAGATTTTGAGTTAGAGTAGGAAGACAATGGGTTCCATCCTGGCTACCATTCAACCATTTGGGAGCAAAGTGGAAGAACCAGACTCATGAACTTGTATCCTCTGGCATGTTCTCCCTCTGCTATGCAAGTCTCCCTTCCAAATTTTTTTTTTTTTTTGGTCATTTCTACAATTGAATATGCCTCCGGTTTTTTGGTTTTTTCTTTTTTCTTTCTTTTTTTTTTGGCTGTTTCTAAAAATAATCTAAAATTCATGAAATACAGGTGTACGCTTAAATAAGAATGTGAAATTTCCTTTCAATCACTTCACATACCACCTTCTCCACAATAGCCTCCTCACAGTTTGGAATACATTCTAGCATACTTTGTATGCATAGAGTGTATTAACTCAAATTTTTTTACACAAACAATGTAATATTATACATGTGGTTCTCTAATTCACTTCTTTACATTTTTTACTGTATATATTATGAATAATTCTCCTACTCAATATATACAAATCCTACTCATCTTTTTAATGGACAGTTTGGTATTATCTTATGGCATCTTCTGTAATGTATTTACTCAATCTTCCATTGATGGTTATTTAGGATATTTTCAGTTGTTATCATAAGCAATACTGCAATGAACATCCTTGAATACATATCTTTGTTGCAGCAATTTGGTTGTCTCTTTAAGCACATGGCAAAAGTATTAAACAACTAAACCTTTCCAGAGAGCAATCCAGGAGGAAACATGAGATCTGAAAAGGACATCGAGGACATACCCTTTCACTGAGCCGCATAAGCCTCTCTTTATAAAAGGACAACATGTAAAACAAGAGGAATTTTTGAGGTGATTCACTTCAAGGTCAAATAGGGCCTTCTGGATGAAAGACACAACATTCATCTCTCCTGGCCCTCTAGGAGACAAGTGATTTTCTGTGAAATAAAGACAGAACTCAAAAGGAGGGGTTCTGGAGCCGGTTCGTTTTTTCTGATTTAGCCCCAGCACCATGACTAACACAGTCTAACATTTCTGAACATTGTCAATCACCAACTCCTGGGTGCTCTCACAGCCTTTGGTTCACACCTCAATTTAGCACTTCTTCCACCAGAGCATGACAATTGACTTATTTACGCATTTCCCAGTCAGGATTCTGAGCCCCTCAAAAACAGGAAGCTCCTTTTCCTTTATTGTATCTCAGTGTCTAATACAGAGTGGATGCTCAACAGGCATTTGTTGCATGGATGAATGCAGGAATGAGTGGGTAAATGAGAAGCCACACAACAAAACTATTTCAAAATAGTTTAGGAAAAAAAAAACTAAAACAACAACAACAACAAAACAAAAACAAAACAAAACAAAAACTACCAATATCAAATTCTCACTGCATCTCATAAAATGTAAGAAACATACTGGAGAATAACATAGACAATTCCTAATACAAATTTCATTTCCTTCCACCCATCTCCAGCTTTCCCCTCACCTATTTTTCTCCTCTAAAAATGGAACTCACTGAAAATCATCTAACAGTACTACTGAAAGTACCACTGGTAAAACCCTGGAAGATTTTAAGAAGTACAGGGGTCCATGTTCTTCAATATATATTCATTTTACAGGTATAAAATTCTCTCTATACAATTCTATATATAATACATATGACTGATGCACCACACCCATGATTTCAGACATTATTTCTTAGAAGAAGTAAAAATCTGTCAAATAAATATATTAAACAAATAATAGCACAAAGGGTACAGAGAAACAGCACCCATTGGGAAGATGGAATTTGAATGGGTGACGTTTGGGAAACAGCACACGTGGCTTAGTAAGACTGCTTTAAAGTAGGAAGCAAGCTAGCAGAAGTTAGTAATCAGAACAACAGATGATGCATGAAGGCAGTGTACCAGGACAGCCTTAATACTCTGTCAGTAGCCTTCAGGTATGTGTAATATCACTGTGGTTAGCAAGTCATTTTCAAAATCACACTTGCTCCACTGTACTTCCTGCCAAACAAAAAATACAACTCCTCCTGTCCCTTCCCTTTATAAAAACAATCTTCAAAACTGCTGTTCCTTAAAAACAGGATTTGAATCAGGGTAAACCTACCAAGAACTCTCCCTGGACCTTATCTTCAGCAAAGCATATTATCGGTAAGCAGAAAATGTAGTTTGTTTCACATTATCTGTAATACAAAAGACAGTCCTTCATTTTAACAAGGTGCCACTGCCAATATGGGCCTCACTGGGTGAGAAGCGGATGCAATGATTTCTCTATTTGTATGAGCAGAATGGATCCCCAAGGGGAAGTTCAGGCAACTGACATGTCTTCCTCAGGCCGCCCCATGGAGGGTCCTCCTCAGCCATCCTGGTGAAAATCACAGCAAGAGATGAGAGCCGATGGAAAGCGCACCAGCAGCCTGACCCACTTCCATGGAGCTGCTGATAGTTAGGTACTGAAGCATCTGCGAAGTTACACATGTATGTGGTGAAAGATCATTTTTAGCATTCACATGTGCTCAGGGGGCTATGCATGACTAATAGAACCAAGGTCAGGAGAGTAACCTGGATAGGGACAGACCACAACCCAGTCATTCAAGGATGGGCTGTAGAAGTGGGGTCCCTTTGGTCTGGGGATTGGAGAAGAAGCCTGGGAGAGCATGGTTGGTCACTTTCTACACACACTGGAGTGGCTACTCGAGGGAAAGAAGTCAGATCCACTAAGAGCATCGACTCTGGAGTCAGGTGAAATGGAGTTGGTTTGAATCCTAGCTTTGACATGCACTGTTCTGTGACCCTGGACAATCACTCAGACTCCCTTGGTTTTAATTTGCTCATCTGTAAAATGGTGACAACTGTAATTACCTTATAGAGTTCTAGTGAGTAAGATAATATCTATAAAATCCCTAACACAATGCTTCAATTGCCATCTTCTGGTAATTCTTAATGTAATGTGTAGGTCGGACAAGATTCAAAGGGACATAATCATGAAAGTGAATTTATTTTTTATTAGCTCTACCCCTAAAATCTGCTTTGTGATTTTGCAGAAGGGTACCCCAGATAAAAATGCAGGCAATCAAATGGCATTTCTAATCATTCTTAGGAAGCTTTTTCATCATTCTCACTCAATATTGGATTTGATTGAGGAATTACCATAGCTAGTCTAGCAGGTAAACACATAGTCCATTCTTCTATCAAAGCCAGGGCCCCTTCCCTCTCCAACACACCCCCAGCTACAGCCAGCTATAGACAGCTGCCATTGAAGAAGGGATGTGGTGCGCTTCAGCTTTCTTCTTTGCTTACTCCCTTCTTCTTTAGGTAGCCGCTGTGTGAGCTGTTCAAGTGTACATGGGAAAGCATGGAGAGTAAGAGGGATGAATGTATGTGGATTGGACTATCCTTTGATGGCTTCCTGTTCCCTGAGACTAGCAGGTTTTTAATGCACCCTCTATCTCTCATGATAACAGTTATGGCTTCTCCCTTCTAGGTGCCTCCATTGCAGTTCCCCTTGGTTTCTACCTTTCACATCTTCTACCCCTAGAGGAACAACCCAGCCTCTTCCAGTCCAAGTCCCCTCACCCTGATGGGTAGGATCCCTTTAAAATGACCCAAGGCCAGCAGATACAAGTTCTGTATCTGGCTCTAGGACTCATACACTTCTGAGCCCATAAGAGGAAATGCAGTCACGCCCAGGCACAGCTGTCTCCTTCACAGGCTGCTTGAGTGTTCTCAGGTGTGAGTTCAGCTTCGCCAACCACAGCTTAATTTCTTCCCAGGAGGTACCACCAAAGACTTCTTGCTGGATTTGATGGTGGTGGGGAGGAGCTGGGAATCCCAGCACAGCATTTTCAAGAAAATCCTTAAAAAACTATCTCTTTATTGTTTTTGTTTTTTTAATTACTCCTCCATGTGAGTGGGAGGTTTAACGATTATCCAATTGATTTTTGGTTACTCACTTTGAAATACTGCATATGGTCCAGCACTTCCTTTGGAATGCAGCATCAGTTGCATCCTGATGCCTCAGAAGAAAAGTTCAATTTTGTGTCCTGTTACTTTAATGATCATAATTTCTCTTCTCTGTAGAAGATTATATTAGATTATATTAGATTGCCTATATGGCTTCAGATTCATAAGTCTTCATTCCTTCCTTCCTTCCTTCCTTCCTCCCTCCCACCCTCCCTCCTCCCTCTTTCCCTTCCTTCACTTCCTTCCCCTCCTTCCCCTCCTTCTCTTTTTCCTTCCTTCCTTCCTCCCTCCCTCCCTCTCTCTTTCCCTTCCTTCCCTTCCTTCCTTCTTCCTTCCTTCCTTTTTCTTTCTTTCTTTCTCTTTCTTTCTTTCGACAGGGTCTTGCCCTATTGCCCAGACTGCAGTACACTGGCACAATCACAGCTTACTGGAGCCTCAACATCCTGGGCTCAAGTGATCCTCCCACCTCAGCCCCCCAAGTAACTTGGACTAACAGGTGCATGCCACCATGCTTGCTAATCTTTAAATTTTTTTGTAGAGATGGGGGTTCACTATGTTCCCCAGGCTGGTCTTGAGCTACTGGCCTCAAGTGATCTTCCCACCTCAACCTCCCAAAGCACTGAGATTACACGCATCTTAGACATGTTTAACCCATGCTACTCTCTTTTGAAACAACATTTATTAGAGTTTATTTTTATAGAAAACTTTAAAGAAAAGATGGCTTCCAATCGAGTCAATCAGTTGAAGTTGAGAATGTAGATAGTAATTCTAGGTATTTATTGTTTTTGCTGCCCAGAATGATTTCCTCTGCCTCCCCCCAGATCTTATCATGGTCTTAGCATGGCTGTCTTGCTGTTGTTCATTTCCCAACTCAACTATCAGAGAGGCCTTGACTGATGGTGTCAATTTTTTACAGAAAACACTCACTTCCATGTACTGTCCCCATGAATGGAGTATAATTCCCCACCCTACAGATGCGGAGGTTGGTCTTGTGACCCCCTCTGGCCACTGGGACATCAGCAGACATGATGCCAGCAAAGGTTTTCAATGGGCTCCAGCAGTTTGGCTTGGCACCTTTGTACTCTGTGATTTCTTTTGATCTGCCATGAAAAGTGCCTCCTGAACAGCTGCTGACCTTTCAGCCTCCAGAATGAACAAATGCAGAGCAGATCTGAGTTCAGCCTGCAACCTACGAGCACAGATGACCCACAGCTCAAAACAGTTCTGGCCAGCCAAGCCCAACCTCAATTATCTGAGCCACAGTTGACCTGCAGAATTCAGCCTGATAATAAATGCTTGTCAAAAGGCACTATGTTTGGGGACGTTTTTTGTTGGTGGTGATGTTGTTTATGTAGCATTTAAGGAGTACTGGCTAACTACTATGCTATTTAAAGTGGCCTCTCCCTATTAACCATTATCTAATAACCTTTAAATTTGTATTAGCTCTTGGATATTTCTGGAATTATCTTTTGCATATTTTCTTATTACTGTTTGTTTCCTCACTAGATTTAACTTTCTAAGAGTTGGGATCTGGCCAATCTTATAGAGATTATTATACTGACTGGGACACAGTAGCCTTTTAAGTATTTGTTGAACAAAGAAGGGGATAATTAGTTTGACAATTTTCAAAAAGCAAAAAGGTACAAAATGAAAGTTTAAGTTTCTCTCCCTGCAGTCTCTCTTTCCAAATAATTCTACTAGAAGAATTCTTGTTTGTCCTTCCAAAAGAAGAAAAAAGTCTGTCTACATGTATAGCACAGGAGAAAGAGAGAGAGAGAGAGAGAGAGGTATATAATTGAAGGGGGGAAAGAATGAGAGATGTTTACAGTTTTTATAGGGTTTTGGTGGGGGGTCATTGCTTTTTATACCAAAAGATTCATACTATTCATTGTGTTCTTCACATTGTTGTTGTTTCAACTTAAAATGTATATTGGAGAAATTCCAATATCAACACATATGTTCATTCACATCAATGGCTCAATAATATCCCATTCTATGATATAATACTTTATGCAGCCACACTCTCTTTGATGTCGCTTTAGTTTTTTCTATTGTCTATTACAAATGATGTGTCTGAGAACACGCCTATATTTTTCTCTTGAACGTGGCCCATCCCATCAGACATTCTCAAACTCTGACCCTGAGAGAGGAATGCCCATCTTGTTGGGAGCATTTAACTCTTATGCCCTACTAGTAAAGGAGATTTTTATAAAGCTTGACTTTCCACAACTTAGTTAACAGAATAATATTCATTACTTTCCATTACTGTTATAATATTATTTTAGAATACTGAATATGTTTTATTCTTCAATTGGTACTCCCTCTGCCCTCTCACCTTCTGTCTCCAAAATTCAGATAATATGCCCTCTAAGAGGTCAGCCTCTCTGGTTAAGATTCACTTTTCTAACACATCAGATTTCATTATAATTCCTTCATCCCTGAAATTAGAAAATTCAGTACTATCATGTCTTCAAAGAGCAAAATGATCAAAAACTGGGGCAAGTTACAATGGTTTTAATCCCAATAACAAGAGAGTTCAATTGAAGAATTAAATTAAAACAAAAGAAACAACTGTACTACTCTGGAATAAAAGTGAAGCACCATTCAAAGATTTCTGCTCTCAGCATATTGTCTTTTCAGTAGCAGTGATCCAAGACCAGAATGTCAATTCAGGAGTGGGGAAAGAAGACACCCCATATAAGTAATGTCCATTCCCTTTTGATGTGTTCCTGACTATATGCTGGCTGACTTAACCTACCCAGGGTACTCCTGATTCCTAATACATGTTTCTATTGTTAGGTTAGAAACACAAGAAATAAGGAACTAAGTATTAGAGGAATTGCCATACTACAGTGAATTGTATTATGATACACAGGTAAGTTTCAGTAAAGTGAAATAGGACACTACTGGAGGGGCAACCATGTTTAATGGAAATATTGTGAGTTCTAGATTGAAAAAACTAGGTCAGAGTCCCAGCTGGTCCAGCTGCTGGGTGACCTTGTACCTGGGTGATCCTGGATGAATCACTTACATTATATGTAGCAGCATTAATACATGTACTAGGCCCCTCACAAGCTTGTGGTTAAGAACAAACCTTTAGAGCTGCCATGAAGATTAAATGAGTGCCAAATAGGTGACAGCTATTGCTATTACTATGGTTATTAAAACATACAAAGGTACATTGCAAACTATAAAGCAAGAAAGATGTCATAGTTATTATCAGGGAGAAATTTAAGGAAAAGTCAAAGATGTTATTGCTGTTTTCCAAGGTGGTTAGCAGAGAGGTCAGAAAATCATAGAAGTTTTGACTATAAGATGCATTAACCATAATTTCATTCAGCTGTCTTTTTTTCAGATAGATAACCTAAATTCCAATTGTGATTTGTCTGAACATGCTCAAGCTGGCCAGCATTCATTCACATCTGTCAGGCCTTGTATTTGTTTTATCCCTCCTCAACAAGCCTGGGAAAGGGTGGGTGGGGGTAGTCAGAAAAAGAACAAATTGTATAATTGTATAATCACACTTAGCATGGGCTTCAGAGTCAAACAGAAGCAGCATCTTATTCCAATGCAGCCACTTAGTGGCAATTGGGACTTTTTAAAAATAATTTTACTTTCTTGAGATTCAAGTGTATATTTGTAAAGAAGAGATAACAATACTTACCTTACAGAATAGCATGAAATAGTTAGGAAATGTACTTAGCACATTTTTTGGCATATAGTCAGGGCTCAAAAATTGGCAGACATGACAATAACGGTAAGGACAATAGGGAGGATGATGGAGATGATAATGAAGATGATGATGGAGAGGATGATGGAGAAGGTGATGGAAAGGTTGATGGTGAGGATGATGGAGATGGTGATGGAGATGATGATGGAGAGGGTGATGGTGAGGATGATGAAGGTGATGGAAAGGGCAATGGTGAAGATGATGGAGAGATGATGGAGAGGGTGATGGAGAGGATGATGGAGATGATGATGGAGAGAGTGATGATGAGGATGATGGAGATGATGATGGAGAGAGTGATGATGAGGATGATGGAGAGGGTGATGGAGATGATGGAGAGGATGACGGAGAAGTTGATGGAGAGGGTGATGGTGAGGATGATGGAGATGGTGACAGATGATGATGGAGAGGGTGATGGAGAGGATGATGGAGAAGGTGATGGAGAGGGTGATGGTGAGGATGATGGAGAGGGTGATGGTGAGGATGATGGAGAGGGTGATAGAGAGGATGATGGAGAGGGTGATGGAGATGATGATGGAGAGAGTGATGATGAGGATGATGGAGAGGATGATGAATAGGGTGATGGAGAGGGTGATGC